>NC_000021.9:8099839-8260971 GCF_000001405.40 Homo sapiens | reverse complement strand
GATCCGGCTTGCCGACTTCCCTTACCTACATTGTTCCAACATGCCAGAGGCTGTTCACCTTGGAGACCTGCTGCGGATATGGGTACGGCCCGGCGCGAGATTTACACCCTCTCCCCCGGATTTTCAAGGGCCAGCGAGAGCTCACCGGACGCCGCCGGAACCGCGACGCTTTCCAAGGCACGGGCCCCTCTCTCGGGGCGAACCCATTCCAGGGCGCCCTGCCCTTCACAAAGAAAAGAGAACTCTCCCCGGGGCTCCCGCCGGCTTCTCCGGGATCGGTCGCGTTACCGCACTGGACGCCTCGCGGCGCCCATCTCCGCCACTCCGGATTCGGGGATCTGAACCCGACTCCCTTTCGATCGGCCGAGGGCAACGGAGGCCATCGCCCGTCCCTTCGGAACGGCGCTCGCCCATCTCTCAGGACCGACTGACCCATGTTCAACTGCTGTTCACATGGAACCCTTCTCCACTTCGGCCTTCAAAGTTCTCGTTTGAATATTTGCTACTACCACCAAGATCTGCACCTGCGGCGGCTCCACCCGGGCCCGCGCCCTAGGCTTCAAGGCTCACCGCAGCGGCCCTCCTACTCGTCGCGGCGTAGCGTCCGCGGGGCTCCGGGGGCGGGGAGCGGGGCGTGGGCGGGAGGAGGGGAGGAGGCGTGGGGGGGGGGCGGGGGAGGACCCCACACACCCCCGCCGCCGCCGCCGCCCTCCGACGCACACCACACGCGCGCGCGCGCGCGCCGCCCCCGCCGCTCCCGTCCACTCTCGACTGCCGGCGACGGCCGGGTATGGGCCCGACGCTCCAGCGCCATCCATTTTCAGGGCTAGTTGATTCGGCAGGTGAGTTGTTACACACTCCTTAGCGGATTCCGACTTCCATGGCCACCGTCCTGCTGTCTATATCAACCAACACCTTTTCTGGGGTCTGATGAGCGTCGGCATCGGGCGCCTTAACCCGGCGTTCGGTTCATCCCGCAGCGCCAGTTCTGCTTACCAAAAGTGGCCCACTAGGCACTCGCATTCCACGCCCGGCTCCACGCCAGCGAGCCGGGCTTCTTACCCATTTAAAGTTTGAGAATAGGTTGAGATCGTTTCGGCCCCAAGACCTCTAATCATTCGCTTTACCGGATAAAACTGCGTGGCGGGGGTGCGTCGGGTCTGCGAGAGCGCCAGCTATCCTGAGGGAAACTTCGGAGGGAACCAGCTACTAGATGGTTCGATTAGTCTTTCGCCCCTATACCCAGGTCGGACGACCGATTTGCACGTCAGGACCGCTACGGACCTCCACCAGAGTTTCCTCTGGCTTCGCCCTGCCCAGGCATAGTTCACCATCTTTCGGGTCCTAACACGTGCGCTCGTGCTCCACCTCCCCGGCGCGGCGGGCGAGACGGGCCGGTGGTGCGCCCTCGGCGGACTGGAGAGGCCTCGGGATCCCACCTCGGCCGGCGAGCGCGCCGGCCTTCACCTTCATTGCGCCACGGCGGCTTTCGTGCGAGCCCCCGACTCGCGCACGTGTTAGACTCCTTGGTCCGTGTTTCAAGACGGGTCGGGTGGGTAGCCGACGTCGCCGCCGACCCCGTGCGCTCGCTCCGCCGTCCCCCTCTTCGGGGGACGCGCGCGTGGCCCCGAGAGAACCTCCCCCCGGGCCCGACGGCGCGACCCGCCCGGGGCGCACTGGGGACAGTCCGCCCCGCTAACCGACCCGCGCGCGGCACCCCCCCCGTCGCCGGGGCGGGGGCGCGGGGAGGAGGGGTGGGAGAGCGGTCGCGCCGTGGGAGGGGTGGCCCGGCCCCCCCACGAGGAGACGCCGGCGCGCCCCCGCGGGGGAGACCCCCCTCGCGGGGGATTCCCCGCGGGGGTGGGCGCCGGGAGGGGGGAGAGCGCGGCGACGGGTCTCGCTCCCTCGGCCCCGGGATTCGGCGAGTGCTGCTGCCGGGGGGGCTGTAACACTCGGGGGGGGTTTCGGTCCCGCCGCCGCCGCCGCCGCCGCCACCGCCGCCGCCGCCGCCGCCCCGACCCGCGCGCCCTCCCGAGGGAGGACGCGGGGCCGGGGGGCGGAGACGGGGGAGGAGGAGGACGGACGGACGGACGGACGGGGCCCCCCGAGCCACCTTCCCCGCCGGGCCTTCCCAGCCGTCCCGGAGCCGGTCGCGGCGCACCGCCGCGGTGGAAATGCGCCCGGCGGCGGCCGGTCGCCGGTCGGGGGACGGTCCCCCGCCGACCCCACCCCCGGCCCCGCCCGCCCACCCCCGCACCCGCCGGAGCCCGCCCCCTCCGGGGAGGAGGAGGAGGGGCGGCGGGGGAAGGGAGGGCGGGTGGAGGGGTCGGGAGGAACGGGGGGCGGGAAAGATCCGCCGGGCCGGCGACACGGCCGGACCCGCCGCCGGGTTGAATCCTCCGCCCCTTTACTGCGCGGACCCCACCCGTTTACCTCTTAACGGTTTCACGCCCTCTTGAACTCTCTCTTCAAAGTTCTTTTCAACTTTCCCTTACGGTACTTGTTGACTATCGGTCTCGTGCCGGTATTTAGCCTTAGATGGAGTTTACCACCCGCTTTGGGCTGCATTCCCAAGCAACCCGACTCCGGGAAGACCCGGGCCCGGCGCGCCGGGGGCCGCTACCGGCCTCACACCGTCCACGGGCTGGGCCTCGATCAGAAGGACTTGGGCCCCCCACGAGCGGCGCCGGGGAGCGGGTCTTCCGTACGCCACATGTCCCGCGCCCCGCCGCGGGGCGGGGATTCGGCGCTGGGCTCTTCCCTGTTCACTCGCCGTTACTGAGGGAATCCTGGTTAGTGTCTTTTCCTCCGCTGACTAATATGCTTAAATTCAGCGGGTCGCCACGTCTGATCTGAGGTCGCGTCTCGGAGGGGGACGGGCCGCTCGGCGGACGGACGGACGGAATCGCGCCGGCCCGACCGCCCGCCCGACGCTCCGTCGGGAGACGGGCCCGGCGAGGGGGAGAGGCGACGGGAGAGAGAGCGCGCGGCCGGCGGCACCCCCGCGCCGCCCCGCCGGAGCGGGACGACCGGAGGGAGGGGCACGGGCCGGGGGCGGGACGGGCGCCGCACGCCCCGACCCGTCTCCCCCGCGGAGGTCGGGGGGACGGGTCCGAGGACGCGGCGGCGGAGCCGCCCCGCCCCGACGCGGAAGCTCGGGACGGGGCCCCGGCGCGGCGCGGCGCGGCCGCGAGCCGGAGGCGGGCGCGCGACGGCGGACGACACCGCGGCGTCTCGCGGGTCGCCGCCGGGGACACGCGAACCCCGGCGCCGCGGCCACGGGCGCGGCCGGGCGGGCCGCGGGGCGGGCTCCCGGCCCCGGCCGACGCGCCGCGAGGCGAGCCGGGCGGGCGGGCGCGCGCGCGTACGCGCGGGGAGGGCGAGGTAGGACGGCGGGGCCTCGGAGGAGGGGCGGCGGGGAGGAGGAGGGGCGCGGGAGCGGCGGTCGGCCGGACGCCGGGCCGCCACCGGGGGCGGGCGGCGAACCGCGGCGACCGGGACGCGCTCCCCCGACCCTCTCTCCCCGCCGGCACCCTTCCCCTTCCGGACCCGCCTTCCTCCTCCCCCACCACCACACCGCACGCAACACGCCCCCACCGCCGACGACGCGCGACGACGACGACGACGACGGGCACGGGACCTTCCACCCGGCCGGGGCCGACGAACCCCGACCCCCGAGCCGCGCGCGGCGCGAGGGAGCCCCACCGAGGGAGGAACCCGGACCGCAGGCGGCGGCCACGGGAACTCGGCCCGAGCCGGCTCTCTCTTTCCCTCTCCGTCTTCGCGGGCGGCGGCGGCGCCGCCCTCCCCGTCTCTCTCAGCCGGGCGCGCCCCCCTCTCCCCCCCGCCACCCGACGCGTGACCACGCAGGGCCCGCGGGGGGAGGGGGAAGGGGCGGGCGCGGCGGCAAGAGGAGGGCGGACGCCGCCGGGTCTGCGCTTAGGGGGACGGAGGGCCCCCGGCGGGCCCTGCGAGGGAACCCCCAGCCGCGCACCCCGAGGAGCCCGGAGGCACCCCCGGGGGCGATTGATCGGCAAGCGACGCTCAGACAGGCGTAGCCCCGGGAGGAACCCGGGGCCGCAAGTGCGTTCGAAGTGTCGATGATCAATGTGTCCTGCAATTCACATTAATTCTCGCAGCTAGCTGCGTTCTTCATCGACGCACGAGCCGAGTGATCCACCGCTAAGAGTCGTACGAGGTCGATTTGGCGAGGGCGCTCCCGACGACGCACCGGGAGGAGGCCCTTCCTGGCGCGGCACGTCCCCCCCCCCCCCGCCCAAGAGGAGAGGGGGTTGCCTCAGGCCGGCCAGACGAGACAGCAAACGGGACCGGACTCCGGAGAGGGGTCGGAAGGTTTCACACCACGGGGAGGCGCGCGCCGCCCACGCGGGGGCGAGCGCGGACACCACCCCACAGGCGCCCGGGGGTTCCCGCCCCCACGGCGCGGGGCGCACGCCACACGCGCGGCAGGCGCGCGACGGCCGCCGGGTAAAGCCCCCACCCGACGGCCGCCGCGGCGGCGGCGGCGGCGCGGCCCCGGCCGGGGAGCGGAGTCCGCGGTGGAGGCGCGGGAGGGGCCGGGCCCCTCCCGACGGGACTCCCCCGCGGGCCCACCACCGCCCCCGACCCACGGGCGGACGGGCGATCCCCCCAAGGGGTCTTTAAACCTCCGCGCCGGAACGCGCTAGGTACCTGGACGGCGGGGGGGCGGACGAGGAGGCGGGGGAGGGGACCGGCGTCCGGCCCCCGACCCTCGAGACGCCCTAGCGGGAAGGCCGGGGAGAGCGAGCGGGGCCGTGCCCGGCGGCGCGGAGCGGCGCGGCGGAGGCGACGGGAATCCGGCCGGCCCCGAAGACGGGGAGCCGGCGCGGCGGGGCCGGACGACGGGCCCCGGCGGGGAGGAGGGCACCGAGACCCCCCCAGACCCGCCGCGACGCCGCCGAGAACCGCCCCCGCGCCCGCCGACACCCACGTCGTCGGGGCCGCGGCCGGGGACCGCTCCCCGCCGCCCGCCGGCCCCACGACACGCGCACACCAACGACACGCCCTTCTTTCTCTTTCTCTCTCTCTCTCTCTCTCCCCCGTCTCCCTCCCGAGTTCTCCGGCTCTCGCGGCCGGCGGGGCCGGGCGGCGAACGAACGAGCGAGCGAACGAACGGGCACGCGGGCCCCGCCCGCGCACGCGCCGCGTCGCGGTGGGGGGGTGGGTGTGCGGAGGGAAGCGCGCGGCGGCGGCGGCGCCGCCGCGGGCACACCTCCGGGCTCCGTTAATGATCCTTCCGCAGGTTCACCTACGGAAACCTTGTTACGACTTTTACTTCCTCTAGATAGTCAAGTTCGACCGTCTTCTCAGCGTTCGCCAGGCCGTGGGCCGACCCGGCGGGGCCGATCCGAGGGCCTCACTAAACCATCCAATCGGTAGTAGCGACGGGCGGTGTGTACAAAGGGCAGGGACTTAATCAACGCAAGCTTATGACCCGCACTTACTGGGAATTCCTCGTTCATGGGGAATAATTGCAATCCCCGATCCCCATCACGAATGGGGTTCAACGGGTTACCCCCACCGCCGGCGTAGGGTAGGCACACGCTGAGCCAGTCAGTGTAGCGCGCGTGCAGCCCCGGACATCTAAGGGCATCACAGACCTGTTATTGCTCAATCTCGGGTGGCTGAACGCCACTTGTCCCTCTAAGAAGTTGGGGGGACGCCGACCGCTCGGGGGTCGCGTAACTAGTTAGCATGCCAGAGTCTCGTTCGTTATCGGAATTAACCAGACAAATCGCTCCACCAACTAAGAACGGCCATGCACCACCACCCACGGAATCGAGAAAGAGCTATCAATCTGTCAATCCTGTCCGTGTCCGGGCCGGGTGAGGTTTCCCGTGTTGAGTCAAATTAAGCCGCAGGCTCCACTCCTGGTGGTGCCCTTCCGTCAATTCCTTTAAGTTTCAGCTTTGCAACCATACTCCCCCCGGAACCCAAAGACTTTGGTTTCCCGGAAGCTGCCCGGCGGGTCATGGGAATAACGCCGCCGCATCGCCGGTCGGCATCGTTTATGGTCGGAACTACGACGGTATCTGATCGTCTTCGAACCTCCGACTTTCGTTCTTGATTAATGAAAACATTCTTGGCAAATGCTTTCGCTCTGGTCCGTCTTGCGCCGGTCCAAGAATTTCACCTCTAGCGGCGCAATACGAATGCCCCCGGCCGTCCCTCTTAATCATGGCCTCAGTTCCGAAAACCAACAAAATAGAACCGCGGTCCTATTCCATTATTCCTAGCTGCGGTATCCAGGCGGCTCGGGCCTGCTTTGAACACTCTAATTTTTTCAAAGTAAACGCTTCGGGCCCCGCGGGACACTCAGCTAAGAGCATCGAGGGGGCGCCGAGAGGCAAGGGGCGGGGACGGGCGGTGGCTCGCCTCGCGGCGGACCGCCCGCCCGCTCCCAAGATCCAACTACGAGCTTTTTAACTGCAGCAACTTTAATATACGCTATTGGAGCTGGAATTACCGCGGCTGCTGGCACCAGACTTGCCCTCCAATGGATCCTCGTTAAAGGATTTAAAGTGGACTCATTCCAATACAGGGCCTGAAAGAGTCCTGTATTGTTATTTTTCGTCACTACCTCCCCGGGTCGGGAGTGGGTAATCTTTTCGGCTGCTGCCTTCCTTGGATGTGGTAGCCGTTTCTCAGGCTCCCTCTCCGGAATCGAACCCTGATTCCCCGTCACCCGTGGTCACCATGGTAGGCACGGCGACTACCATCGAAAGTTGATAGGGCAGACGTTCGAATGGGTCGTCGCCGCCACGGGGGGCGTGCGATCGGCCCGAGGTTATCTAGAGTCACCAAAGCCGCCGGCGCCCGCCCCCCGGCCGGGGCCGGAGAGGGGCTGACCGGGTTGGTTTTGATCTGATAAATGCACGCATCCCCCCCGCGAAGGGGGTCAGCGCCCGTCGGCATGTATTAGCTCTAGAATTACCACAGTTATCCAAGTAGGAGAGGAGCGAGCGACCAAAGGAACCATAACTGATTTAATGAGCCATTCGCAGTTCACTGTACCGGCCGTGCGTACTCAGACATGCATGGCTTAATCTTTGAGACAAGCATATGCTACTGGCAGGATCAACCAGGTAGGTAAGGTAGAGCGCGGCGAGGCCCCGACGCGGCCGGACGGCCGGCCGGGGGGCCTCGCGAGGACGGGCCCGGCGCCCCGCAAGCGAGGAGGACGACGGACGGACGGACGGGCCGCGGACGGGCGGACGGGAGGGAGCGAGCGGGCGCGGGGGCGGCGGCCGGGACCGGTGGGGCCGGGGCGGGGCGCGGCGAACCGGACGCCCCAACCACCCGCCCCCCACGCGACACGACCACCGGGGCCCCGCGCCACAGACCCGCGACGCTTCTTCGTCGCGCCCGCCCGCGAGGAGGCGGACGGCCCGACCCGCGCCCGGCGGCCGGGAGGGACCGGCGGCCACGCGCGCGCGCGCGCGGCCGGCGCCCGCGGGCGGCGGCGAGGCGGGGACGGCGCTCCGCCCGCCCCGCGGGGCGGCCCCGACGTCCGGGCGGCGAGCGAGAGGCGGACCGCGGTGCCCGGCCCGGGGACAGTCGCGCCGTGCGGCCGCAGCGCCCGCGCACCGGTCCGGTCGAGGGCCCGGGGCCCGGCCGAAGCCCGGCTCCGACCCCTGACGGCGGCGCGGGCGCAGGGGTGGCACACGCCACACGACGGCCAAGGGAGGGCGACCGAGGCCGGCCGGCGCGCCCGCCCCCGCCCGGGACGGGGGACCGCGACCGCCGATGCCCCGGCCCGGGCCCCACCCCCCGACCCGGGGAGAGGGCGAGCGACCGGCAAGGCGGAGGTCGACCCACGCCACACGTCGCACGAACGCCTGTCCGGGAGGGACCACCGGGCCGCGCTCGGCGCACGCGCGCGCCGAACGGGGCGACGCCACGCGGGGAGGACGGGCTCTCCCCGACGCCGACGCCCGGGACGGACGCCTCGGGGAAGGGCCGCGGCAGGCCCGGGAAGCGAGGCGCACCCGGGGGACGCGCCGACCCGGTTCGGAAGAGCGGGCCGGGAGAAGACGAGAGACCACGGGCGAGGCCGGGGCGACGGGGAAGGCGCGAGAAAGGCGGCCGGCGGGGAAGGGGACGCCACGGGGACCCCTCGAGCGCGGCCGACCGCAGCCGGGACACACGCGCGGGGCCTCACGCCCCGGCGGCACCGCGCGGCACCCGGGGCGCCGACCGGCCCTCCGGCGATCCCCGCGGCTCCCCCCACCACCGCCGCAGTCGCGGCGGTCCCCCGGAACCGTCTCCTCCCCCTGCACGCCCGCAAAGGCCGACCCCCGGATATACTCCGGTGAAATCCACCCGTGCTCCACGCGGGGCGCCACCGACCCGGTCCCCAAGGCGCGCGCCGGGGGACGCGGGACGCCGGGCCGATCAGTGCGCGGCGCGGCGCCCACGAGCGGTGCCGGGTTCGGTCCCAGGCGGGGCCACCAACGGACGTGAAGCCGGTGAGCCGCTCGGGGGGAAGAAGAGGATCGGCGGGCGGCGGGCGGGGAAGAGGGCACAGACGGGCGAGGGCCGGGGACCGCGAGGGCAAGGGCACCCGGGAGCCCGCAGAGGCGGCGGCTCGGGGAGAAACCTCAGGCACGGCCGGGCCACCAGGAAAACACGGCCGCGGGATCCCACCGCCACAGACACGAGGGCGGTCCCGCGGCGCCCCGCCTGGGACGCCGGAAGGCCCTAGGCCCCCCCCGAGAACCCCCTCACGAGCCCCGGGGCCCCGCCACCGGGGGCCCCGGAGCGACCGCAGCCACGAACCCGACACGCCACCACCACCGTCGCTCGTGATTCTCGTCCATCCTCCGACCCGGTCCCGCTCCGGGAGACCGGCGCGCCCCCACCGTGGGACGCTTTCCCAGGGCCAGGCGGGCCCGACCCCGTGCCACGCAAACGCGGTCGTCGGCACCGGTCACGACTCGGCACGGGAGCGGGCGGAGAGCCGACTCGCGGCGGAGGGAGTCACGCGCCGGACAGAGCGCCGGGCGCGCACACCCACCGCCCGCCGGCCGCCGCGTCCCAACCCGCTGGGACGCCGGGCCCGGCCCGGCGGGATCCTCCCCCGACTCGGAAGGGGGAGGCGCGGGCCACAGTAGGCGACGAGCCGCACTCGGCCACCACCGCGGTGGCCGGCGGAACCCTCGCTTCTCCCCCCCAACCCCGTCGAGGGGGAAGCGGAGGAGGGTCCTCTGCGAGCGGGTCGCTACGGCAGCGCTACCATAACGGAGGCAGAGACAGAGGCGGCGGCCCGGGGGATCCGGTACCCCCAAGGCACGCCTCTCAGATCGCTAGAGAAGGCTTTTCTCACCGAGGGTGGGTCACACTCCCCCCACCCGCCAGCCGCTCCTCCTCGGGCCCGCAGAGGCGCCGAGGGACGCCTGGGGAAGGGAGGGGGCCCTGCGGTACGAGGAAACACCTGCGCGCGGCCACCTCGAGCGTTCGCGTTCAGGGCGGGGGCCCGGCCGGTGCGCGCGTGCGCGCAACCCCACCAGGCCCCCCCGTCCACCCACCTCCTTCCTTCCGAGGCAGAGCGCCTCCGAAGTCAACCCACACACGACCGGTCGGAGGCAGAACGGCAGCCCCTCGGCGGCCGGCCGGCGCACGCGTCACACCGGCCCGAACCCACCGCGATCGCTCACACGGCCCGCGCGCACCCGCCAGAGGGGAGCACGGGACGTGCGCTCACCGAGAGCAGGCGGGCGCCCTTCCCCGCGTGGGAGGGGCGCGTCTCGTCTCGTCTCACTCAAACCGCCCCGAACCCCACACCGACGAGCTCCCTCAGGACCCACGCGCGGACACCGCGGCGGCGACCGGAGGAGGGGGCGCCGGGGGCGGGAACGACACACCACCGTTCGGCCTCGGGCACCTGAGGGACAACCCGGAGCGCTCCAGGAGCACCGCAAGGGCCCAGGCGGAGCCGACGCTCGCGCAAACCCCCCGAGAGGGCAGCACGACGGGCCGGCGGGACGGCACCCCCACCGCCGCGGAGGGGGGCCGCCCGCAAGTCGACAACCACTGGAGGCGACAGCGAGGGCTGTCTGCCGCGTCAGAGGACCCCGCCGGCCCGCACCCGCGACGCAGAAGGCGGCGGGCGGGACGGCGAGGTCGGGCCGGGGTCCGCACCCCACGCCTTCCCACACGCACCGCCGGCGGGCGGGGAGAGGAGAGACGAGGGGACCCCCGCGGGGCGGAGCGAGAAGGACGGTCCCGTTCGCCACGAACGTCCGCCCCTCGCCCGTCGCGGCTCGGACCCGGCCCGGGAGAGCACGACGTCACCACATCGATCACGAAGAGCCCCCCGGGAGCGGAGGCCGGCCGGCCGGCCAGCGAGCCGATCGGCTCCGGCCAACCCCCCACTCCGGGGAAGGGGCGGCGGACAACCCCGCGGAGACGAGAACGCCTGACACGCACGGCACGGAGCCAGCGGGGTGGGGTTGTCGCGGCCGCCCCGGGCGCCCGCAGCGGAGAGCGCACGGGGGCACGGTGGCCCTCGCCGCCTTCCCCGCCGCCCCCGGGTGGGTCAGAGACCCGGACCCGGGCCGGCACCGGGAGTCGGGACGCTCGGACGCGCGAGAGAACAGCAGGCCCGCGGGCCCCGGCAGGCGGCTCAAGCAGGAGCGCGGCCGGCTAGCCGGGTCACCGGTAGGCCAGAGCCCCGCGCGCATCCGGAGGCCCAACCTCTCCAGCGACAGGTCGCCAGAGGACAGCGTGTCAGCAATAACCCGGCGGCCCAAAATGCCGACTCGGAGCGAAAGATATACCTCCCCCGGGGCCGGGAGGTCGCGTCACCGACCACGCCGCCGGCCCAGGCGACGCGCGACACGGACACCTGTCCCCAAAAACGCCACCATCGCAGCCACACACGGAGCGCCCGGGGCCCTCTGGTCAACCCCAGGACACACGCGGGAGCAGCGCCGGGCCGGGGACGCCCTCCCGGCCGCCCGTGCCACACGCAGGGGGCCGGCCCGTGTCTCCAGAGCGGGAGCCGGAAGCATTTTCGGCCGGCCCCTCCTACGACCGGGACACACGAGGGACCGAAGGCCGGCCAGGCGCGACCTCTCGGGCCGCACGCGCGCTCAGGGAGCGCTCTCCGACTCCGCACGGGGACTCGCCAGAAAGGATCGCGGCAGAGGGACCGCGGCCCGGCCCGGGGACCGCTCCCCGGCACCCGGGGGACGGGGGCGGGACGGTCCCCGGCTCCCCACGGGGACTCGGAAACGAATTCGGCCGCCGCCTCAGACGGCCAGGATGAGCGCGGACCCGCGACCGGGCCGGGAAGGGCGTCCCCAGCCTCCCGCGCCACGCGCGGCGGGTCCCCGCGGGTCGCGGCTCGGGCCTCGGGAGCTACGGCGCGCTGGTCGACCGGCCCGGGCAGCCCCACGCCCGCCGCGGGCCCAGAAGCGCAGCGACAGCCTCTCCCCCACATAAACCTGCACGCCAGAGCTGTGACTCACAAGCGACGCGCCACAGCTCTGGCGCCACCGGGCCAGCCGGGCTGACGACCGGGGCTTTCCGGAGCTCTGCCTAGCTCACAGCGGGGACGGTCCCCTCCCTCGGCAGCTGCCACCGCAGCTCCGGAAGCCGAGAGCACGATCTCAAAGCGGCCGCCAGATGGAGCCCGACAACCGCCGCGGACGTCAGCGAGACAGATCCGGCTGGCAGGGCGGCCCGTGGACCGCGAAAGCGAAACCGTGAGTCGAGAAGCTCTTCCCGAGGCCGAAAACGCAGCCCCTCTGCCCCAACCCCACACAAACGGTGCCCAAAACGCGTCTCTGCCTCGACCGCGACAGAGTCAGAAGACAACCCACGGCGCGTGGGTGTTTGGAGATGCCTCTCGGAAGCAGGGAGGGAGGGAGGGAGGGAGGGAGGGAGGGAGAAAGAACACACAAGGACTCGGTCGCGGGTCGCTGCAGACACACGGAGAGGCAGAATGCGTAGGCTCTTCCGGAATCCACGCAGAGACAGACGGGGGGAGGGGAGTGGGGAAAAGAGACAGATGGCGAAAGGGAAGGAGGGAGGGAAGGGAGCAGGGAGGGAGGGAGGGAGGGAGGGAGGAAGACAATGGAGAAAAGAGAGACAATTTAGAAAACGTAGATACACAAAGTAAACTTCTGAAACACTCCATTTTTTAAAAGACAGACGGGAAGGAAAGAAACACGAAAAAGAGAGAAAGAATGAGGAAAGAAACGAAGGAAAGAAGGGAAAAAGAAACAGAGAGGAAAGAAAAAAGAAGGAAACACAGGGAACGAAAGAGAAATAAAGCACGAAGGAAAAAAGGACAGAAAGAGAGAAAGAAGGAAAGGAAGAGAGGAAGAAAAACCTAAAGAAGGAGAGAAAGGAAGAAAGGAAGGAAGAAAAACACGAAGGAGAGGAAGAAAGAAAACAGAGATAACTACGTACGCTCGTTCATTTACACACATAAATACGACGCTTTTCATACGTAAAATAAACGTCTTTATCGACGATCCCTTCTTTATAGAGCGATGTGTATTTATTTGTATAACACAGACACCTACATCTATCATACAGAAGTCTATTTCCATACAACCGATACGTATTTACCATACGCAAGAGTATTCAATGCAGAGATACACGTTGTCGTTGTTTGCATATAAGCGTACAGAAACGTTTACATTAATACATATAAGTAAACGCGTGGAAACGAAAGAAATAAAAAAGCGAAATGAGTCAACAGGCCGGGCACGGTGGCTCACGCCCGTCATCCCAGCACTTCGAGAGGCCGAGGTGGGCGCATCACAGGAGGTCGGGAGTTGGAGACCAGCCTGAGCAACATGGAGAGACACGGCGTGCCTACTAAAAACACAAACATCAGCCAAGCCAGGCGTGGGGGTGCCTCCCTGTAATCCCCGCTAATCGGGAGGCTGAGGCAGGAGAAGCGCTCGAACCCGGGAGGCGGAAGGTGCGGTGAGCCAAGATCGCGCCATTGCACTCTAGCCGTGGAAACAAGAGTGAAACTCTGTCTCAAAAGGACGAAACAGAAAGAAAGAAAGAAAGAAAGATAGAAAGAAAGAAAGAAAGAAAGGAAAGAAAGAAAGAATGAATGAATGAAAGAAAAGAAAGCAAGAAAGAAAGAAAAAGAAAAGAAAGAAAGAAAAGAAAGCAAGAAAGAAAGCACGAAAGCAAGCAAGCAAGAAAGCAAGAAAACAAGGAAGCAAGAAAGCAAGCAAGAAAGAAACAAAAGAAAGAAAGCAAGAAAACAAGAAAGCACGAAAGCAAGCAAGCAAGAAAGCAAGAAAACAAGGAAGCAAGAAAGAAAGAAACAAAAGAAAGAAAGAAAACAAGAAAGCAAGAAAGCACGAAAGCAATCAAGCAAGAAAGCAAGCAGGAAAGAAACAAAAGAAAGAAAGAAATCGAGAAAACAAGAAAGCACGAAAGCAAGCAAGCAAGAAAGCAAGCAAGAAAGAAACAAAAGAAAGAAAGAAAGAAAGAAAACAGGAAAGCAAGAAAGCACGAAAGCAAGCAAGCAAGCAAGAAAGCAAGCATGAAAGAAACGAAAGAAAGAAAGAAAGCAAGAAAACGGGAAAGCAAGAAAGCACGAAAGCAAGCAAGCAAGCGAGCGAGAGAGAGAGAGAGAGAGAGAGAGAGAGAGAGAGAGAGAGAGGCTGGGCGCGGTGGCTCACGCCTGTCATCCCAGCACTTTGGGAGGCTAAGGCAGGCGGACCACCTGAGGTTGGGAGTGGGAGACCAGCCTGACCAACATGGAAAAACACCGTCTCTACTAAAAGTACAAACATCAGCCAGGCACGGTGGCCCATGCCTGTAATCCCAGCTAATCAGGAGGCTGAGGCAGGAGAATCGCTTGAACCTGGGAGGCGGAGGGTGCGGTGAGCCGAGATCGCACCATTGCCCTCTAGCCTGGGCAACAAGAGTGAAACTCTGTCTCAAAAAAAAAAAGAAGAAGAAGAAGAAGAAGAAGAAGAAGAAGAAGAAGAAGAAGAAGAAGAAAAAGAGAAAGTAATAAAGAAAGAAAGAAAGAAAAGGCAAGGCCAGGCAAGTCCAGGCAAGGCAAATCTACCTGCTTTCACTACATCTGGGGAGAATCAGGAAAGTCCCCAACAACAACAAGGCCTAAAGTGGAGCTGCCATCTGTCAAACCCGAGCGGAAGAGTCCACGCGGGTTAAAGACACGAAGAAAGACAAGGAAACCCCTGACCAAGGAGAAGAACAATCGGGCCCAGCCAGGGTCTGTCTCCCGGGGTTGTCTGGGCAACCAGGGAGGGCGGGCCTCCGAGACTCCGTCTCGAAACATCAATCATGATAATAACATAAAATGAAGTTAAAAAAAGAAATCACGCATAATTCCTAACGTGTTTGAGGCCTCGAAAGGCGAGAGGCGTACGTGTATGTCACGGTGGGGTTGTTCTGTTTTGTTGTTTTTTTCTTTTTTCTTTTCTTCTTTTTCCCCAGAAACTCACTTTTTAATTATTTTGTTGCGTTTCATTTTCATTTTCATTTTTTGGAGACGGAGTCTCGCTCTGTCGCCCAGGCTGGGTTGCAGTGGCGCGATCTCGGCTCACTGCAACCTCCGCCTCCCAGGTTCAAGCGATTCTCCTGCCTCAGCTCGGCCTCCCGAGTAGCTGGGATTACAGACAGTACAGCACAGCACAGCGCCCGGCTAATGTTGTGTATTGTGAGTAGAGACGGGGTTTCACCATACTGGCCCTGTTGGTCTGACCGCCTCTTGATCCACCGGCCTTGGCCTCCCAAAGTGAGGGGATGACAGGCTTGAGCCACCGCGCAGGGCCCATTTATTTATTTTATTTTATTTATTTATTTTAATTTATGTATGTATGTATGTATGTATGTATGTATGTATTTATTTATGTATTTATTTTTGAGACGGAGTTTCGCTCTTGTTGCTCAGACTGGAGTGCGATGGCGCAATCTCGGCTCACTGCAACCTCCGCTTCCCAGGTTCAAGCGATTCTCCTGCCTCAGCCTTCCTAGCAGCTGGGATTATAGGCATGTGCCACCGCGCCCGGCTAGTTTTGTATTTTCAATTGAGACGGGATTTCTCCATGTTGGTCGGGCTTGTCTCCAACTCCCGACTTCAGGTGATGCGTCCACCTCGGCATCCCAAAGTGACGGGATGACAGGCATGAGCCACCGCGCCCGGCGTATTGTATTGTATTGTATTGTATTGTATTGTATTGTATTGTATTGTATTGTATCGTATCGTATTGTATTGTATCCTATCGTATCCTATCGCATCCTATCGTATCGTATCTTATTGTATTGTAATGGGTTGTATTGACTTATTTTATTTAGTTAGTTACTTTTGTGTTATTTTATTTATTTATCTGTTTGTTCGTTTTTGCCTGATCAAAGGTCAATCAGACCCGGTCGTCAAAGTGGCGATTTCCTAGGCAACAAGGGAGGGAGGAACTTGGAGGTGGGGGCGGGGGCGGTGGAGAAGACACAGTTGCCCCAGGCTGTGCGCAGGCGGCCTGGTGCTCCCTTCCTCTGTGAGGCCTCCGTTTTCAGAGTAACAGTGACCGCTAGGTGATGCCCGACGCCTGCCAGTGAGCGTGTCAGCCCGGAATGAATTGGGATCCCCTGGGGAGGGGGTGGGGGGAAGGATGGAGGCTCCCACAGCACAGTGGGTCACCGCGCCCTCCAAGGCGATCCCCACAACTAATCGACCAGGGCTCCTGGGGGGACGCAGCCTAAGTCCCCCACCCATCGGATCATCTGGAACTTCCGTCCAGAGACGAGAGACCGACTGGGAATCCTCTCAGTCAAGGTCCAAACCGAAAAGAATCACTGGCACGGACACCAGGGCTAAGGCCATTTCTAAAAGACTGCTTTCTGTGTTTTGGGTGAATCCGTGTATTTCTGTATCACAAAATGACTGACTTTGAACGTTACGATTTTTCTCCTCCTTACGTGTACGGTCCTGTGATAGACAGACCAGGGGACTCCTCGGCTCAGAGTCCGTGAGGCCAGAAGCTGACGTCCCAAATTTCTATTTAGAATGAGTTTAAGCACGCCAGCCAAACGCTCTGCCGTGAAACTGTCTGTCGGGAAGACAAGCGGGGGAAGGGGAAAGGGGGGGTCCGGGCGCGGTAGGCTCGCGCCTGTCATCCCCGCACTTTTGGGAGGCCGAGGGCCGGTGGATCCCTCGGTCCAAGCCTTGGCAACACGGTGAAACCTCGTCTCAAAAAAAAAAAAAAAAAAAAAAAATTACAAAAACTAACTGGTTTCATAACCTGGACTCAAAGTTAATAAATAGATAAATAGGCCGGGGGCGGTGGCTCACGCCTGTCATCCCAGCACTTTGGGAGGCCGAGGTGGACGGATCACGGGGTCAGGAGATCGAGACCATCCTGGCTACCACAGTGAAACCCCATCTCTACTCAAAATACAAAAAGTTAGCCGGGCACGGTGGCGGGCGCCTGTAGTCCCAGCTACTTGGGAGGCTGAGGCAGGAGAATGGCGTGAACCCGGGAGGCGGAGCTTGCAGTGAGCCGAGATCACGCCGCTGCACTCCAGCCTGGGCAGCAGAGCGAGAGTCTGTCTCGAAAATAAATAAATAAGTAAATAAATAAATAAATAAATAAATGTAAATAAATAAATAGATTAAAATGGAAAACTAAAAAAAAGTAAAATAATTAAAAAAATAAATAAATAAACGTAGCCGGCCAGTCACGATGGCTCACGCCTGTCACCCCAGCACTTTGGGAGGCCGGGGCGGGCAGATCCACTGGGGTCGCCAGTTCGAGACCAGCCTGACCCACATGGAGAAATGCCGTCTCTACTAACAATACAAAATCAGCTGGGTGTGGTGGCTCCTCCCTGTAATCCCAGCTACTCAGGAGGCTGAGGCAGGAGAATCGCTTGAACGCGGGAGGTGGAGGTTGCGGTGAGCCGAGATGGTGCCACTGCACTCCAGCGTGGGCACCAAGAGTGAAACTCCGTCCGAAGGGAAAAAAAAAAATTAATTAAGTGCTGTATTCTGTTATTTTTGCTTCCTACCCTGAGAAGAACATAATACAGCTGTTGTCTTTCTGCCTGCCTGCCTGCCTGCCTGCCTGTGGCAGGGCCTCATTCTGTCTTTCGCCCAGACTGGAGCACAGTGACACAACTATGGCTCACTCACTGCAACCTCAACCTCCCCAGGGTTAGGCGATTCCTCGAGGGATCCTACGGCCTCGGCCTCCCAAAGTGTTGGGGTTACAGGCGTGAGCCACCAGCACCCGGCCTGAGTTAATACATCTGGTCTCACTACGTCTTAACCACGCACCCACGAAGAACTCAAGTCAAGAGAGAGTCGGCAAGAGACTCTCAGCATTCTCTCCCGAAAGCACGTGTGTCCCGAGCTCCTGTGGTTTCAGGTGGCCGCGCGTAGAGGAGAGATTTCCAATGTTTCCGGAGAGGTGCGAGCCACAGTCACTCGGGGCATCCGAGCATGAGATGGGGTTTCTGACAGCGACTGAAGGGCCAGGAAGGGCCAGAATCTGCCAAGGCCCGGCGTTCCAGGGTGGGGCCGAGGGAACCCAAGGTAGAGGGAGTCAGCGGTCCGCACGGAGAGAGCTCCAGCCCTAGGCCCCACTGTGCAGACCGAATCAGAAGGAAGAGAGTCCTTCGTCCTACCTGCCACACCCCTCACATCCCCCCACTGAACTTGGGAGTGGATCCGTGTTCTAAACACGAGGTGACTCTCGGTTTGCAATGGATCACAAGGCGCCGGGCTTTCCAGAGTCAGCAGGATAAAGAAGTCATTCTGTCTCGGACTCCCCCATCCCCCGGTAACGGCGGCTGGTGCCTTTAAATGAGCCGAGGCTGGCCGGGCCGGAGCCGCTATGGGGGGGGGGGGGGTGCCTGTGGCACTGCAGAAAGTGGGCCTGAGCCTCGAGGATGGCGGTGCTGCAGGGACCCGTCCAGGCTGCTATATGGCAAGCACTAAACCACTATGCCTACCGAGATGCGGTTTCCCCCGCAGAACGCCTTTATGCAGAAGTACACTCAGAAGAAGCCTTGTTCTTACTGGCGACCTGTTCTTACCGCTCAGGAAAGGCCTATAAAACATATAGACTCTTGAAAGGACACAGTTGTACTACCCCGCAATGCAAATGCCTGCTTGCGAAATGTTGTGTTGATCTCAGCAAGCTTGCAGAAGGGGATCAAATCTTATCGGGTGGAGTGTTTCATAAGCAGAAAAGCCACGATGATATTATCGTTCCTGAGTTTGGTGATTCAGCTCGCTTTCCCCTTCCATCGTCGGGACATGTATATTGCAAGACAGATCGGCTTACCAAAGGATCAGAATGTGACCAAAAGAGCCTTCGTTGAAATCCTTTCCTCTGGTGTCCCTTTGAATCATGATGTGAAATAGGGGGGAAAAGCCAGATCCTGACCAAACATTTTGATTCACCTCTCTAGAGAGCTTTAGCAACTGCCTGTCCAAGTGTTGCGCCACAACACTTGGACCTCGTCCTAGTTTATGTCACAGACAGCCCGAGACCGTTCTTACGGAAACACCCCAGGACACCGTCGAATGAAACGGATGGAATTTAGAATCTTCCAATTCAAAGTACTCCTTGAATACAGACTCCCCAGTGTCTTCTATCGATTCAGCTGTCCTTTCACCTGATACTGTCCCACTGGGAACAGGAACTTCCATATGATCTAAACAGGTTCAACATAAACCAAAAACTGGTCGAAGTTTATTAGGAGGACCAGCAGCTGTTAGTCCATTAACCCCAAGTGTTGGCATTTTGCCATTAGAAACCCCAAGTCCCGGAGACGGACCCTATTGACAAAACTGCACTGGTATGAGACACCGTCTGTCATTGACGTGCCATCCACCGGAGCCCCTTCAAAAAAGCCTGTTGCCAGAATCGGCCAAACCGGAACACCGTCTGTCTTCTCGCAGAGGGGAAAGAGCCGAAAGGTAACTCCAGTCCTTGCAAAAACACAAAGTTCTGGTCCGCCGACAAGGGCAACACCTCAGGTATTGAGCCCCACTATGGCATCTCCCCCAAATGCACCGCCTCGAAGAAATTCACGACTCTTGACTAGTGACAGCTCCACAACCGAGGAGAATAGGAGAAAATTAAAAATGAAGTTTCCACCTAAAATCCCAAACAGAAGAACCAAAAGTAAAACTAATAAAGGAGCAATAACTCCACCGAACATAAGTGATAGCCTGGAAGTGACAAAATTGGACTCTTCCGTCATTTCAGAAGGGAAAATAGCCACAATCGCGCCTCAGATTCAGGCTTTTAATCTACAAAAAGCAGCAGCGGAAGGCTTGATGAGCCTTCTTCGTGAAAGGGGGAAAGGTTATTTAGCTTTGTGTTCTTACCACGGCAAAGAAGCTATCAGCATCTTGAGCCATCTAGCTTCTCACCACTGCAATACCGGTTGGGTACTGTGCCAAATCGGAAGGGCCTATTGTAAACTTTCAGAGTCCACGCAAGCTGAAAGACAATTCTCAGAGGTTAGGAGGATTGAGAATTACAGAGTCGAAGGCATGGAGATCTACTCTACAACACTTTGGCATCCTCCGAAAGAGGTTGCTCTTTCAGTTCTGTCCAAAGACTTCACAGACATGGATAAAAATTCGCCAGCCAGAGGCCTGGTGTGCTGCAGGGAACTGTTTCGGTCTGCAACGGGAACACGATATTGCGATTCAATTCTTCCAGAGAACTCTCGAAGTGGATCCAAATGATGCTTATGCCTATAGCGCATTAGGGCGTGAGCTTGTCTTCACTGAAGAACTGGACAAAGCATTAGCTTGTTTTCGAAATGCTATCAGGGTCAATCCTAGACATTGTAAGGCATGGTAAGTGCTAATGAAGCGTAAAGACAAAGCCCTATGGATGGTGCCGGTACTCGCTAATTTTTCTGGTTAGATAGCTCTTTATTGTCACGAATTTGGTGAAAAATACTTAGGGATGGTACCTACTGCTGAATAACTTCTAACTAAGATGTTTCCTTACGAAACGTATGTCTTGAACAAACTCTGAAGTGAACTCATGATCGTAGAATACCAGATCCTTATACTCAACAGTTTCAGTCTTCTAGCAAACTTTTGCAGACGCTGTAGTTGTCTTTGGTTTGTGTGTGTGTTTCTTTAGTTGTGTTCCTTGATTTGTTACTTTTTCTTCGAGCACCGAAGTGGTGATGGGGACAAGAAGTGCTTGGGAGACTGGAAAGGAATAGCATAGTTCACTTATTGGATAATAGAAAAATACATGGAAACAATTCACTAGCTGCTGCTTTTTGACAGTGTTCCAGTTTACGGAGTTACTATGAAGAACTTCACGTACCCTTTAATTTAGCAGTCTCTCTGTTTTACTCTTTTGTACTCGTGTATAAGTAGGCACATAGGAAATTACTACCTAGGTCATATTGTTATCAACTGAATAAGATAGGAAAAAGTGTGGTCCTACTTCTGCCTCAACACCATCCTCACCGTTGACATTTATTGCGTTTCTCTGGACTGACTTCATAGTTTAAACGTCAAGAGAAGGCCGGGCTCAGTGGCTCACGCCTGTCATCCCAGCACTTTGGGAGGCCGAGGCGGGCGGGTCACGAGGTCAAGAGATCGAGACCATCCGGGCCGACACGGTGAAACCCCGTCTCTATTAAAAGTATAAAGATTAGCTGGGCGTGGTGGCGGGCACCTGTAGTCCCAGCTACTCGGGAGGCTGAGGCAGGAGAATCGCTTGAACCCAGGGAGGTGGCGGTTGCAGTGAGCCGAGATCACACCATCGCACTCCAGCCTGGGCGACAGAGCGAGACGCCGTCTCAAGAGAAATAAATTAAAAAAAATAAATACATACATAAGTAAATATCAAGAGAAAGTATGATTCTGAAGTCATAACCCTGTGGTAGTTATTTTGTCAGATACGGTGATCTTTGGGGTGACTTATTACAGCAGTGGAGTTCTATCATTTGATTTGCTTCTAAATCTGAAGCATTATATTACTGAAACACTTTTTGATTTGCGAATATGTTGTTTAATGGATCATATCTCATTTTGCTGTAGTAGTTACATTGCCCGAAAGATGGCCAAAAAGATAGTGCCAGCTACTGCTGACCAACGTAACAATCAACTTGCCAATACTGCCTTCTCTTCCGATAGCTACGTTCTCCGTCCTATTTTAAGAACTCAGTTCTTCATAAGACTTGTGTGGTTTTCGATTTTTTCCCAAGTCTGGTTGATCCTTGTGTTGTTATTTTTTTAAATGTGTATCGTCTGTTCAGCTATTTTGCAGGAGTCGCATTCTTAAAAAAATCTTAACCCTATCAAAAATTGTGTTTGTTTAAAGGAGGATTATTCAGATTGGCCAGCTTTTACTAGGAAGAGTGTAAATGCTGACGTATTTAGGTAGCTCTAAATACTGAGCAACTTTATTCTAACCACAAAATAGATAGCCTTTCTTTTGTCTTCACTTTCACTATCATTAGCACAGTGTTTAATACCGTTTCTTCATCTATAACACAATTATAATGATATAGGAAGCCACTCAAATAAGGCAGACATGTTGCGTTGCGCTTAAAAAAAAAAAAAAAAAGAAGTCTCTCTGTGGCACGGAATGAGGTGTGGCTCGAATCTAGAATCTCCAGTGAAAACCAATGAAAGAGGGTGAAACCCCGTGTCTACCAAAAAAAAAAAAAAAAAAAAAAAAAAAAAAAAAAAAAAAAAAATGAGCCGGCCATGGTGGCGCTGAGACAGGAGAATCACTTGAACCCAGGAGGCAGAGGTTCCAGTGAGCTGAGATCACGCCACTGCACTCCAGCCTGGGGGACAGAGCAAGACTCCATCTCAGAAACAAACAAACACACAAAGCCAGTCAAGGTGTTTAATTCGACGGTGTCAGGCTCAGGTCTCTTGACAGGATACATCCAGCACCCGGGGGAAACGTCGATGGGTGGGGTGGAATCTATTTTGTGGCCTCAAGGGAGGGTTTGAGAGGTAGTCCCGCAAGCGGTGATGGCCTAAGGAAGCCCCTCCGCCCAAGAAGCGATATTCATTTCTAGCCTGTAGCCACCCAAGAGGGAGAATCGGGCTCGCCACAGACCCCACAACCCCCAACCCACCCCACCCCCACCCCTCCCACCTCGTGAAATGGGCTCTCGCTCCGTCAGGCTCTAGTCACACCGTGTGGTTTTGGAACCTCCAGCGTGTGTGCGTGGGTTGCGTGGTGGGGTGGGGCCGGCTGTGGACAGAGGAGGGGATAAAGCGGCGGTGTCCCGCGGGTGCCCGGGACGTGGGGCGTGGGGCGTGGGTGGGGTGGCCAGAGCCTTGGGAACTCGTCGCCTGTCGGGACGTCTCCCCTCCTGGTCCCCTCTCTGACCTACGCTCCACATCTTCGCCGTTCAGTGGGGACCTTGTGGGTGGAAGTCACCATCCCTTTGGACTTTAGCCGACGAAGGCCGGGCTCCCAAGAGTCTCCCCGGAGGCGGGGCCTTGGGCAGGCTCACAAGGATGCTGACGGTGACGGTTGGTGACGGTGATGTACTTCGGAGGCCTCGGGCCAATGCAGAGGTATCCATTTGACCTCGGTGGGACAGGTCAGCTTTGCGGAGTCCCGTGCGTCCTTCCAGAGACTCATCCAGCGCTAGCAAGCATGGTCCCGAGGATCCCAGCTCCCAGCAGAGGCACTTTTGGTCACACAGGATCCTGGGCAGGAAAGTTCTCAGCAGGCTTAGGCCTCCTAGCCAAAAAGCCAAAACCACTTCTGGGATTTTTTTCAAAGAGCCAGTGGTTCCACAAGGGGCCGTGGGTAGTTGTGGAAATGGAGAGAAGTGTTTGCACGTACATATTTGAGACAGGACGGACAGGGCTCGGTCACAGATCACTTAGGACACGGGCAGATGCACATTGAGAAAACTCTTCCGGCATCCTAGGGGAACAGAGGTACGATTTTTCGAGACAGTCGAGGGAGAAGCCACCCCAGATTTTAGGATTGGATCTTTATTCATATGTAGTTTCTATGAGGTATCCAAGTCCAGAAATCAACTCGCCAGTTCTGTACAGCATTCTGTAGGGAGATCAAATCTGGGATGTCAGAAGTGAAGAATTCAGGCCTTGGTAAGGGATTAGATTAGATGTACTTGAGCTTCTTTTGCAAAAAAAGAGAGGGCGGGGGATAGCGAGAGCCAGAGACCGAGACAGACAGACGGACAGACAGACAGAGAGAGAGAGAGAGAGAGAGAGACAGAGAGACAGAGACAGAGACAGACAGAGAGAGACAACGATACACAGAGAGAGAAAGACAGAAAGAGAGAGAGAGACAGATAAAGAGACAGACGGAGAGAGACAGATAAAGAGACAGACGGAGAAAGACAGAGATGGACAGAGACAGAGAGAAACAGAAAGAGAGAGAAACAGACAGGAAGGGAGAGAGACAGGCAGAGAGAGAGAGTAAGACAGAAGACAGAGTGAGAGAGACAGGCAGAGAGAGACAGAGAGAAGGAAAGAGAGAGACAGTCAGAGAAAGACAGAGACGGAGAGAGAGAAACAGAAAGAGAGAGAGAGACAGAGACAGAGAGAAACATACAGACAGGGAGAGAGAGAGAGAGAGACCGACAGACAGACAGAGAAAGGGAGTAAGACAGAAGACAGACACAGTGAGAGAGACAGGCAGAGAGAGAGAGAGAGAGAGAGGCAGAGAGAGAGAAACAGACAGGCAGAGAGAGAGAGACACAGAGAGAGAGAGAGAGAGAAGACAGACAGAGAAAGAGAGAGACAGAGACAGACAGAGAGACAGAGAGAGGGGGAGGAAGGGCGTGCTCAAGAAATAATCACACATATTTTATAATGCTTTTGATCCCATAAACGGTGGCCGGGGTATACTTTGAAAACAACGACAACGACAACAACAACGACAACGACAACAGCAACGACGACAACAACAACAACAACAACAGCAACAAGAGCAGCAGCAGCATTCGCCTACGGATTTCTAGAAAATAAGATGTCATGATGAAGGATAGTAAACATCAACCGGCTCTCACTGCACGTTGAGAGAGTCACAAAAGCGCTAGTTCACAACAGGAAAAAACGGCAGCTAACGTGTCTTGGGGAAAATAGACGTCTTCCTGAAAACTGGGGATTTCTACTTCACCTGAAAAGAAAGACATACGAGAAAGGAAAAACACGAACAAAACAAAACAGAACGAAACAAAACAAGCCAACAAACACGGGCCAAGGCGCCGTCCCTGGAAATCTTAAGTGAGCAAAGTTATTAGTTTTCAGAAAGCGTTTCTATTTTGGGCAAGTACTGAGAAGGCCCAGACTAGAGCCGTGGCGCCCTTCGCATTGTGAAACTCTGCTGGCCGGAGGGCGGAGAAACTAAAACATCGTGATAAAAGGTGACCGAGACCCAGCCAGGGTGAAGCTTTCCTAGGGAGGGAGGCCTGAGGCGGGAAGCAGCGGGGGGAAAAGCCTCACAACTGCAGACCCGCCCGCTTGCCCACGCGGGTCAAGGGGCTATGCCATCGGCCCAAGCTGCCTCCGGGGAAGTGGGACCGTGCCGCCCCCATCTTCAAAAACGGTGGCCCCCGAGTGAGGCCTGACGCCCACCGATGCAAATGTCAGCCTGGCAAGAATGAGATCGCCGGCAAGGGGTGGGGGAAGGGGAGAGAAGACGGAGGCACACCGGGGTGGCTCTGGAAGGTTTCCAAGCAGGGTGTTGGGAGGCGGGGGGGGGGGGGGCGGTTTGGGGGAAACCCACCTAACCGACTCACTAAATTAAGGTGAAGGGACGTGGGTAGTGGGGGGAGCCGGGGGGCAACTTGAAAATTAAACTGACCCTTCCCAAAGCCCAAGTAGAAGAGTCTAGGCGCCAAAACACAAAGAAAAGTAAAGCGCCGATCAAAGAACAATAGGGCCCCCGCCAGGGCGGAGGTTCCCTAGGCGAGGTTCCCTAGGCAACGAGGGAGAGAGGGAGGGGCCTCCAGAAGGGAGAGAGAGAAACCCGTTGCCCCAGGCTCGGTGAAGTCGGCGAGACCTCCCTCCGTGTCACGTCGACTTTCAATAACAGTGGCCGCTAGGTGATGCCCGAAGACAACCGATGCCTGCCTGCAAATGTCCGTCAGCAGGGAAAAGAATTAATGAATTAATTAATTTCCGTATTTATTTAGAGACCGAGTCTCACTCACTCTACAGCCTGGGCCGTAGTGCAGTGGCGCGATCTCGGCTCCCTGCAGCCTCCGCTTCCCTGGTTCAAGCGATTCTCCCGCCTCAGCCTCCCGAGGAGCTGGCATTACAGGGGCCTGCCCCACCGCTCCCGACTCAGCTTTGTATTTTTAGTAGAGACGGGGTTTCGCCGTGTTGCGTCCGGCCTTAACAGTTTATGTTGAAGTCGAGGAGCTTATCGGGGAAATAGGAGAAGTACGGACGCCACACGTGACCGAGAGAAAAGTCTGAAAATGCCCCTCGCATCCAAGCGGGGACCCGGCCTCGACCTCCCGAAATCGTACACCGAGTGGGGAAGCCCAGCAAGGCCCGCCTGTCTAGATTCCTCTCGGCCTCTCTAAGCACCGAAGCACGCGCTTCTCACTCTCGTGGAAGGGGCAGGGCCCTACCCGGCACGGGGGTGTCTGACAGACTGACAGAGAAAGAGACAGACATAGAAAGACAGAGATGGACAGCGAGAGATAGAGAGAAACAGACAGAAAGAGAAAGAGAGAGAGACAGAGACAGAGACAGAGAGAGAGAGACAGACAGACAGACAGGGAGGGAGAAAGACAAACAGAGAGAGAGAGAGAGAGAGAGAGAGACAGACAGACAGACAGACAGACAGAGAAACAGACAGAAAGAGAGAGAGAGACGGAGAGAGAGTGAGTGAGAGGGAGAGAGAGAGACATGGAGGGAGAGAGACAGACAGAGAGAGAAACAGACAGAAAGAGAGAGAGAGACGGAGAGAGAGTGAGTGAGAGAGAGAGAGAGAGACATGGAGGGAGAGAGACAGACAGAGAGAGAAACAGACAGAAAGAGAGAGAGACGGAGAGAGAGTGAGTGAGAGAGAGAGAGAGACATGGAGGGAGAGAGACAGACAGACAGAGAGGCAGGCAGAGAAAGAGAGTAAGACAGAAGACAGACACAGTGAGAGAGACAGGCAGAGAGAGAGAGAGACAGAGACAGAGAGAGAGAAAGAGAAAGAGACAGACAGAGATGGACAGAGAGACAGAGACAGAGAGAGAAACAGACAGACAGGGAGGGAGGGACGGAGACAGGCAGAGAGAGAGAGACAGGCAGACAGCCAGAGAAAGAGAGTAAGACAGAAGATAGGCACAGAAAGAGAGACAGACACAGAGAGAGACAGAGAGACAGAGAAAAAGAAAGAGAGAGACAGACAGACAGAGAAAGAGACAGACAGAGAGAGAGAGAGGCAGAGAGAGAAACAGACAGACAGGGAGAGAGGGACGGAGACAGACAGAGAGAGAGAGAGAGACAGGCAGACAGCCAGAGAAAGAGAGTAAGACAGAAGATAGGCACAGACAGAGAGACAGACACAGAGAGAGACAGAGAGACAGAGAAAAAGAAAGAGAGAGACAGACAGACAGAGAAAGAGACAGACAGAGAGAGAAAGAGAGAAACAGACAGAAAGAGAGAGAGAGAGAAACAGAAAGGGAGGGAGAGAGAGGGAGAGACAGACAGACAGACGGACAGGCAGAGAAGGAGAGTAAGACAGAAGACAGACACACACAGTGAGAGAGACAGACAGAGAGAGAGAGAGAGAGAGAGAGAGAGAGGCAGAGACAGAGACAGAGAGAAAGAGAGAGACAGACATAGAAAGACAGAGATGGACAGAGAGACAGAGAGAAACACCCAGAAAGAGAGAGAGAGACAGAGAAAGAGAAAGGGAGGGAGAGAGAGAGAGAGAGAGAGAGAGAGAGACAGACACACAGACAGGCAGGCAGGCAAGGAAACAGAGTAAGACAGAAGATAGGAACAGAGAGAGAGAGAGAGAGACAGAGAGACGCAGAAAAAGAAAGAGAGAGGCAGACAGACAGAGAAAGACAGAGACAGACAGAGAGAAACAGGCAGAAAGAGAGAGAGAGAGAGAAAAACAGACAGGAAAGGAGAGAGAGAGAGAGACAGAGAGAGAAAGAGAATAAGACAGAAGACAGACACAGTGAGAGAGGCAGAGAGAGAGAGAGAGAGAGAGAGACAGAGACAGAGACAGAGAGAAAGAGACAGACAGACAGAGAAAGAGACAGACAGAGAAAGACAGAGAGAGAAAGAGAGAAACAGGCAGAGAGAGAGAGAGCTAGCGAGAGAGAAACAGAAAGGTAGGGAGAGAGAGAGAGAGACAGACAGACAGATGGACAGGCAGAGAAGGAGAGTAAGACAGAAGACAGACACAGTGAGAGAGACAAGGAGAGAGAGAGAGAGAGAGACAGAGACAGAGACAGAGACAGACGACAGAAAGAAAGAGAGAGACAGACAGACAGAAAAAGACAGAGACGGACAGAGAGAGACAGAGAAACAGAGAGAAAGAGAGAAAGACAGAGAGAGCGAGAGAGGGAGAGAGAGAGAAACAGAAAGGCAGGGAGAGAGACAGAGAGAGACAGACAGATAGACAGGCAGAGAAAGAGAGTAAGACAGAAGATAGGCACAGAGAGAGAGACAGAGAGACACAGAAAGAGAAAGAGAGAGGCAGACAGACAGAGAAAGGGACAGACAGAGAAAGACAGAGACAGAGAGAGAGAGAGAGAGAGAGAGAGAGAGAAACAGACAGAAAGAGAGAGGGACAGGGAGAGAGAGAGACAGACAGACAGACGGACAGGCAGAGAAGGAGAGTAAGACAAAAGATACACACAGAGAGGGAGAGACAGAGAGAGAGAGAGACAGAGACAGAGACAGAGAGAATGAAACAGACAGACAGAGAGAGACAGTGAGAAACAGACAGAAAGAGAGGGAGACAGAGAGAACAGACAGGGAGGGGGGAGAGAGAGAGAGAGAGAGAGAAGCAGAAAGGGAGGGAGAGACAGAGAGAGACAGACAGACAGGCAGAGAAAGAGAGTAAGACAGAAGATAGGCACAGAGAGAGAGAGAGACAGACAGAGAGACACAGAAAAAGAAAGAGAGGGGCAGACAGACAGAGAAAGAGACAGATAGAGAAAGAGAGAGGCAGACAGAGAGAGACAGAAACAGACAGAAAGAGAGAGAGAGAGAAACAGACAGGGAGGGAGTGAGAGAGAGACAGACGGGGAGAGAAAGAGAGTAAGATAGAAGACAGACACAGTGAGACAGGCAGAGAGGGAGAGAGAGGGACAAAGACAGAGACAGAAAGAAAGAAAGAGACAGACAGACAGACAGACAGACAGAGAAAGAGACACAGAGAGAAAGACAGAGACGAACAGAGAGAAACAGACAGAGAGAAGGCCCTAGCCCAGTAGCAATACAGTGCCTTTTCTTTCATTTTCTCTTTCTTTTCTTTTCTTTTTTTCTTTCTTGTATATCTGTATGTATGTATGTATGTATGTATGTATGTATGTATGTATGTGTGTATTTATTTATGTACGTATTTATCTGGAGACCGGGTCTCACTCTGTCGCCCAGGCTGTAGTGCAGTGGTGCGATCTTGGGTCACTGCAGCCTCCGCCTGCCAGGTTCAAGCAATTCTTCCACCCCAGCCTCCCGAGTAGCTGGGGTTACAGGTGCCTGCCCCACGGCGCCTGACTCCATTTCGTATTTTCAGTAGAGACGGGGGTTTCACCACGTTGGCCGGGCTGGTCTCGAACTCCTGACCTCGGGATGACAGACGTGAGCCACTGCGTTCAGTGTACAGTACCATTTCTTAGAAATCACTCCTCACGGGAACACACACTTATGGGTGACGTGTAGAGATTTTAGTTAGTTAGTTAGTTAGTTAGTTATTATGTGCGCGGGGAGGTGGGGGGACGGAGTTTGGCTCTTGCTGCCCAGGCTACAGTGCAATGGCCTAGGGGACTCAAGGAGTCAACCTATGGCAGAGAGGACACGTCATTCTGAGCGTAAGGGCCGCAGCGAAAGGTGGCAGGGCCCGCGCTTTTAAAGGCTGAAATCCCGGCGGCTCAGGCCTGTCGTTTCCAGCACTTTGGGAGGCCCAGGAAGGTGGATCATTTGTGGTCAGGAGTTCGAGACCAGCGTGGCCAACGTGGAGAAACCCCGTCTCTACTAAAAATAGAACGATGAGCCGGCCGTCATGGTGCGCACCTGTAATCCCAGCTACCGAAGAAGAATCACTGGAACCCGGGAAGCAGAGGTTTCAGTGAGCCGAGAGAGCGCCACCGCACCGCAGCCTGGGTGACAGAGCGAGAGAGACTCAGTCCAAAAAAAAAGAAAGAAAAGAAGAAGAAGAAAAAAAGAACGGGCCCAAATACTGCATTGTCGCTGAACGTTCTCCCAAAAGGCCAGAAACCCCCTGACTCAGGTCAAGGAGGTGGTGGTTGGTTTTACTTCTCTTTCTCTCTCTCTCTCTCTCTCTCTCTCTCTCTCCCCCCCCCTCTCCCCCCTCTCTCCCCGTCTCTCTCTCTCTCTCCTCTCTTCTCCCCCCCGAACTTTTATTTGTCGTTCAAGCATACATGAGCAAGACTGTGACATAGGTAAACTTGTGACGGGGGTGTTCAGTGTGCAGATGATTTCATCACCCGGGTAGTCAGTGCTGTGTCCGACAGTATTCGTGTTTTGTTTTCTTCCTGAAGCTGTCTCTCCTTCCACCCCTCCTCCCTCAAGCAGGCTTCCGCGTCCCCGGTCCCCCTCGTTCTGCCCATGCAAGAACTGTCATCTGTAAGTTCCCACTTCTAGATGAGAACACGCGGTATTTAGCCGATCTTTGCTTTCATCTTCGGTGGTGGCGGTGAAAGAGGCATGACACTAAATCGACCCTTAGGACGCCGTTTATGTTGAAGTCGAGGAGCTTATCGGGGAAATAGGAGAAGTACGGACGCCACACGTGACCGAGAGAAAAGTCTGAAAATGCCCCTCGCATCCAAGCGGGGACCCGGCCTCGACCTCCCGAAATCGTACACCGAGTGGGGAAGCCCAGCAAGGCCCGCCTGTCTAGATTCCTCTCGGCCTCTCTAAGCACCGAAGCACGCGCTTCTCACTTTCGTGGAAGGGGCAGGGCCCTACCCGGCACGGGGGTGTCTGACAGACTGACAGAGAAAGAGACAGACATAGAAAGACAGAGATGGACAGCGAGAGATAGAGAGAAACAGACAGACAGAGAGAGAGAGAGAGAGAGAGAGAGAGAGAGAGAGAGAAACAGACAGGGAGGGAGAAAGACAAATAGAGAGAGAGACAGACAGACACACAGAAAGACAGAGACAGAGAGAAACAGACAGAAAGAGAGAGAGACGGAGAGACAGTGAGTGAGAGAGAGAGAGAGAGAGACATGGAGGGAGAGAGACAGACAGACAGACAGAGAGGCAGGCAGAGAAAGAGAGTAAGACAGAAGACCGACACAGTGAGAGAGAAAGGCAGAGAGAGAGAGAGAGAGAGAGAGAGAGAGAGAGAGAGAGAGACAGAGAGAGACAGAGAGAGACAGAGAGAAAGAAAGAGAGAGAAAGAGAAAGAGACAGACAGAAATGGACAGAGAGAGAAACAGACAGACAGGGAGGGAGGGACGGAGACAGGCAGAGAGAGAGAGAGAGAGAGAGAGAGAGAGAGACAGGCAGTCAGCCAGAGAAAGAGAGTAAGACAGAAGATAGGCACAGACAGAGAGACAGGCACAGAGAGAGACAGAGAGACAGAGAAAAAGAAAGAGAGAGACAGACAGACAGAGAAAGAGACAGACAGAGAGAGAAAGAGAGAAACAGACAGAAAGAGAGAGAGAGAGAGAGAGAAACAGAAAGGGAGGGAGAGAGAGGGAGAGACAGACAGACAGACGGACAGGCAGAGAAGGAGAGTAAGACAGAAGACAGACACACACAGTGAGAGAGACAGACAGAGAGAGAGAGAGAGAGAGAGGCAGAGACAGAGACACACACACAGTGAGAGAGACAGACAGAGAGAGAGAGAGAGAGGCAGAGACAGAGACAGGGAGAAAGAGAGAGACAGACAGAGAAAGACAGAGATGGACAGAGAGACAGAGAGAAACAGATAGAAAGAGAGAGACAGAGAGAGAGAGAGGCAGAGGCAGAGACAGAGACAGGGAGAAAGAGAGAGACGGACAGAGAAAGACAGAGATGGACAGAGAGACAGAGAGAAACAGACAGAAAGAGAGAGAGACAGAGAGAGAGAGAGACAGACAGACAGACAGGCAGGCAGAGAAACAGAGTAAGACAGAAGATAGGCACAGAGAGAGAGAGACAGAGAGACGCAGAAAAAGAAAGAGAGAGGCAGACAGAGAAAGACGGAGACAGGCAGAGAGAAACAGACAGAAAGAGAGAGAGAGAGAGAAAGAGACAGGAAGGGAGAGAGAGAGACAGACAGACAGAGAAAGAGAATAAGACAGAAGACAGACACAGTGAGACAGGCAGAGAGAGAGAGACAGAGAGAGAGAGACAGAGACGGAGACAGAGAGAAGGAGACAGACAGACAGAGAAAGAGACAGACAGAGAAAGACAGAGACAGACAGAGAGAGAAAGAGAAACAGGCAGAGAGAGAGAGAGAGAGAGAGAGAGAGAGCGAGAGAGAAACAGAAAGGGAGGGAGAGAGAGAGAGACAGACAGACAGACGGACAGGCAGAGAAGGAGAGTAAGACAGAGGACAGACACAGTGAGAGAGACAAGCAGAGAGAGAGAGAGAGACAGAGACAGAGACAGACAGAAAGAAAGAGAGAGACAGACAGAAAAAGACAGAGACGGACAGAGAGAGACAGAGAAACAGAGAGAAAGAGAGAAAGACAGAGAGAGCGAGAGAGGGAGAGAGAGAGGGAGAGAGAGAGAGAAACAGAAAGGCAGGGAGAGAGACAGAGAGAGACAGACAGACAGACAGGCAGGCAGGCAGAGAAAGAGAGTAAGACAGAAGATAGGCACAGAGAGAGAGACAGAGAGACACAGAAAGAGAAAGAAAGAGAGAGGCAGACAGACAGAGAAAGACAGAGACAGAGAGAGAGAGAGGAACAGACAGAAAGAGAGAGGGACAGAGAGAGAGAGAGACAGAAAGGGAGAGAGAGACAGACAGACAGACAGACAGACGGACAGGCAGAGAAGGAGAGTAAGACAGAAGATACACACAGAGAGTGAGAGACAGAGAGAGAGAGAGAGAGAGAGAGAGAGAGAGAGAGAGAGACAGACAGACAGAGAGAACGAAAGAGACAGACAGAGAGAGAGAGAGATGGACAGAGAGAGACAGTGAGAAACAGACAGAAAGAGAGAGAGACGGAGAGAAACAGACAGGGAGAGGGGGAGAGAGAGAGAGAGAGAGAGAGAAACAGAAAGGGAGGGAGAGACAGACAGACAGGCAGAGAAAGAGAGTAAGACAGAAGATAGGCACAGAGAGAGAGAGAGAGAGACAGACAGACAGACAGAGAGAGAGAGACCGACAGAGAGACACAGAAAAAGAAAGAGAGAGGCAGACAGACAGAGAAAGAGACAGACAGAGAAAGACATAGACAGACAGAGAGAGACAGAAACAGACAGAAAGAGAGAGAGAGAAACAGACAGGGAGGGAGAGAGAGAAACAAACAGGGAGGGAGAGAGAGAGAGAGAGACAGACGGGGAGAGAAAGAGAGTAAGACAGAAGACAGACACAGTGAGACAGGCAGAGAGGGAGAGAGAGAGACAAAGACAGAGACAGAGACAGAGAGAAAGAAAGAGACAGACAGACAGAGAAAGAGACACAGAGAGAAAGACAGAGACGAACAGAGAGAAACAGACAGAGAGAAGGCCCTAGCCCAGTAGCAATACAGTGCCTTTTCTTTCATTTTCTCTTTCTTTTCTTTTCTTTTTTTCTTTCTTGTATATCTGTATGCATGGATGTATGTATGTATGTATGTATGTATGTATGTATGTATGTATGTGTGTATTTATTTATGTACGTATTTATCTGGAGACCGGGTCTCACTCTGTCGCCCAGGCTGTAGTGCAGTGGTGCGATCTTGGGTCACTGCAGCCTCCGCCTGCCAGGTTCAAGCAATTCTTCCACCCCAGCCTCCCGAGTAGCTGGGGTTACAGGTGCCTGCCCCACGGCGCCTGACTCCATTTCGTATTTTCAGTAGAGACGGGGGTTTCACCACGTTGGCCGGGCTGGTCTCGAACTCCTGACCTCGGGATGACAGACGTGAGCCACTGCGTTCAGTGTACAGTGCCATTTCTTAGAAATCACTCCTCACGGGAACACACACTTAGAGGTGACGTGTAGAGATTTTATTTATTTAGTTAGTTTAGTTAGTTAGTTAGTTTGTTAGTTAGTTATTATGTGCGCGGGGAGGTGGGGGGACGGAGTTTGGCTCTTGCTGCCCAGGCTACAGTGCAATGGCCTAGGGGACTCAAGGAGTCAACCTACGGCAGAGAGGACACGTCATTCTGAGCGTAAGGGCCACAGCGAAAGGTGGCAGGGCCCGCGCTTTTAAAGGCTGAAATCCCGGCGGCTCAGGCCTGTCGTTTCCAGCACTTTGGGAGGCCCAGGAAGGCGGATCATTTGAGGTCAGGAGTTCGAGACCAGCGTGGCCAACGTGGAGAAACCCCGTCTCTACTGAAAATAGGAATATGAGCCGGCCGTCATGGTGTGCGCCTGTAATCCCAGCTACCGAAGAAGAATCACTGGAACCCGGGAAGCAGAGGTTTCAGTGAGCCGAGAGAGCGCCACCGCACCGCAGCCTGGGTGACAGAGCGAGAGAGACTCAGTCCAAAAAAAAAGAAAGAAAAGAAGAAGAAAAAAAAAGAACGGGCCCAAATACTGCATTGTCGCTGAACGTTCTCCCAAAAGGCCAGAAACCCCCTGACTCAGGTCAAGGAGGTGGTGTTTCGTTTTCTCTCTCCCTCCTCTCTCTCTCTCTCTGTCTCTCTCTGTCTCTCTCTCTCTCTCTCTCTCCTCTCTTCTCCCCCCTAACTTTTATTTGTCGTTCAAGCATACATGTGCAAGACTGTGACATAGGTAAACTTGTGACGGGGGTGTTCAGTGTGCAGATGATTTCATCACCCGGGTAGTCAGTGCTGTGTCCGACAGTATTCGTGTTTTGTTTTCTTCCTGAAGCTGTCTCTCCTTCCACCCCTCCTCCCTCAAGCAGGCTTCCGCGTCCCCGGTCCCCCTCGTTCTGCCCATGCAAGAACTGTCATCTGTAAGTTCCCACTTCTAGATGAGAACACGCGGTATTTAGCCGATCCTTGCTGTCATCTTCGGTGGTGGTGGTGGTGGTGAAAGAGGCATGACACTAAATCGACCCTTAGGACGCTCCCCTCCGTCCCCACCCCGCACCCCCTCCCCACACACACCCTCATTCCCGCACCCCCTCCTCAAACGCAAGAAAGGAAGAAATGAAAGTAAGAGGTGAGCCTGCAAGGCGGTGGAGGCGGGGGATCTCAGAGGGCGAGCAAGCGATGGCGGTCGGGGGATGTGTCGGCTGAGGTATCAAAAATAGGGGACCCAGTTTTCAGCCCCAACACACCCCCTAATCCTCAGCCGCAGCCAGCCTCTGGGTGGGGTTGCGCCTGTCAAAGCTTCCGAATGGAGAGAAGCCCAAGGCTACGGAAGGCATCAGCTCCAACTCCAGGAAGGGAATAAGGCTCTGTGCATACGAATGGGGCTTTGAAAGGCGTTGCCGCGGCTTCCAAAGCGATGCGCTGTGCCTCGCCTCGCCTCGCCCCGCCCAGAGCGAGACTCCGTCTGAAAATAAGTACACAAATAAATCATAAGATAATTCATCAAGAAAGAAAGAAAGAAAGAAAGAAAGAAAGAAAGAAAGAAAGAAAGAAAGAAAGAAAGAAAGGATCAGTAGAGCGATGGTGGTCGTGAGTCATTCCCCGGAGTCCAGGCGCAGTGGCTCACGCCCGTCACGCCAGCACTTTGAGACGCCGGGCAGGAGGGTTGCAAAGAAATGATGAGACCCCGTCTGTGGGAAAACATTTAAAAATGAAGGCCGGGCGCGGTGGCTCACGCCTGTCATCCCAGCACTTCCGGAGGCCGGGGAGGGCGGATCACCTGAGGTCGGGAGTTCGAAACCAGCCCGATCGACATGGAGAAGCCCCGTCTCCACTAAAAATACGAAATCAGCCAGACGTGGCAGCGCATGCCCGCAATCCCGGCTACTCAGGAGGCCGATGCAGGAGAATCGCTTGAAACCGGGAGGCAGAGGTTGCGGTGAGCCAAGATCGCGCCACCGCACTGCAGTCTAGGCCACGAGAGTGAAACTCTGTCTCGGGGGAAAAAAAAACAATTAAAAACGGTGTGGGCACAGTGGCGCGTGCCCGCGGTCCCAGGCTCTGTACTCTGGAGGCTGAGGTGGAAGGATCGCTCGAGTCCAGGAGCGTCCACGCTGCAGGGAGTGAGTTACGACGGCACCACTGCCGGGGTGACGGAGCGAGATGCCGTCTCTAAATCAGTCAATGAGATCACTGGAAGGCGCTCTCTGCGTCTCACTTTCCAAGAGGGTCTCTTTGGGCCAAGCAGGCATGGTGCCTCCCGCCAGTCATCCCAGCACTTTGGGAGGCTGAGGCGGGAGGAAAGAAGGAAGGGAGGAAGGGAGGAAAGAAGAAAAGAAGAAAGGCAGGAAGGCAGGAAAGAAAGAGGGGAAGAGAGAAAAAGAAAAAGAAAGAAAGAAAGAAAGAAAGAAAGAAAGAAAGAAAGAAAAGAGAAGCAAAAAGAAGAAAAGAGAAGGGAAGAAAAGAAAAGCAAACGGGGAAGGGGCATATCTCCTTGACCGGTGACTGCCCAGGATACAGTGGGTCACGGCCGACCGAAGCCTCGACCTGTGGGGCCTCAAGTGATCTTCTCCTCGTCTCAGCCTCCCGAGTAGCCGCGACTACAGGCGGCCATCACCGCGCACAACTCATCTTATAATAACATCATGATTCTCTCGACACGGGGTCTCGCTCCGTCATCCAGGCCGCATCGCCACGGCACGATCTCAGCTCATCGCAACCTCGGCCTCCCCGGTTGGAACAAGTCGCCCGCCCCAGTCTCCCGAGCGGTCGTGATTCCAAGCCCACGCCACCAGGCCCGGCTAATCGTTCTATTTTTCAGAGAGACGGGGTTTCGCCACGTCGGCCAGCCTGGTCTCGAACTCCCGGCCCCAAGCGATCCACCCGCCTCGGCCTCCCAAAGTGCCGGAGTGACAGGCGTGAGCTAGCGTGCCCGGCCCAGATCATCTTTTTCATCAATTGTAGAGAAGGGGTTTCGTCAGCCAACGGGTGGAGGGTGGGGCGGGTTTTACTCAGCCTGCGTACTGTGAAAAGGGGAAGTGAGTGTGCTCTGTGAACTAGATATGGAAATTGTGTGTGTGTGTGCGCGCGTGCGCGTGCGAGAGAGAGAGAGAGAGAGAGAGAGAGAGAGAGAGAGAGAGAGACCAATCCCACCACGAGGACCCGGAAATAGTGTTTGATCTGTGTCCCTGCCTAGTCACCTGTCTTGTGTGTCGATGACTGAGGATTCCACAAATGAAGGTCAGCGGTATCTATTGAGCTGTTTCTCCCTCTCGTGCGTCTCATCTGTGTGCTGGAGAAAGGGAAGAGAAGAGGTTCCGATGGGAAGTTGTCTTCACGCCTGAGGCAGCTGAAGGCAGACCGAAGGGAAGGAGGGCATCCTAGGTGACATTTCCATACCCACGCACCCTTTACAATGCTGGGGCTGCCAGTCCACCCTGTACGTCAACCCACCCCCAAGAACAGCACGGTCCGGGGTGGTCCAGTCTGATCCCAACCGGCCCACCCGGGGCATCCGGTGGAAGTCTTCGCCGGAGGATCCGAAGGCAGCATCAACGCGGTTCCCCTGGGGTCGCCCGGCAAAGGCCAGCCGGGGGAGGGTAGCGGGACGTGACGGGGGGGTGGGGGTCGCATCCGCCTCAGAGCTCCCTGGAAGGTGGCAGGTAGCCGGTGGGGCACGCCGAGCCAGAGACGTCCGGCAGGATATAGATCTGGAAGGCGTGTCAGTCCTCTCCCATACCTCTCCTATGGAAAATGCCAGGGCGGCGGTGGGAGCCTCGGCTGGGGGAGAAGCGGGGACAAGGGGGAGAGGGAAGGAGGCCCTCGGGAGGTTTCGGCACCGAAAACCCACTCAGCCAAGCTCCCTCCGTGTTTCCGGGTCCAAGGTACACCCCGGGAGACGGCAAGAGAAACGTTCACACCGTGCTTTCCGTCTTCGTGTTTATTTCTTTCATCTTTTCCATTTTACGAGAGATGCTCATTTCAACAACCAGACGGCGGATGTGACGGGAGAAGCGTCAAGGCCAGGAGTTTGAGACCAGCGTGAGCAACAGAGCAACACACGTAGGAGAGCCCAGCTGAAAGAAATGAAAGAGGAGGAGGAGGAGGAGGAGGAGGAGGAGGAGGAGGAGGAGGAGGAGGACGACGACAAGGGGGGGTGGGGGGGGAGGAGAAGGAAAGAAAAGAAAAGAAAAAAAAGAAAAAGGAAAACAACCACCACCAAGAAAGTTAAGATTCTCCAACGGTCGGAAGTTGAAGACCAGCCTGACCAAGATGGAGAAACCCCATCTGTAGTAAAAATAGAAAAATTAGCCGGGCACGATGGCTCATCTCTGTCATTCCAGCTACTCGGGAAGGCTGAGGCAGGAGAATCACTTGAACCTGGGAGGCGGAGGGTGCGGTGAGCCGAGAGCCGCCATCGTACTCCACCCTGGGCGACAAGAGTGAAACTCCGTCTAAAGAGAATAAAAAGAAAGAACGAAAAGGCGGATCGGTGAGATGCGTCTGGAAATTTTCTTCGTTCGCAGTCCCCGTATTAAAAACGGAAAGAACCGACCCACGACAAACACGACCAGAGCGTACCGTGCCCACGCGTGTCATCACAGCACTCCGGGAGGCCGATGCGGGAGGATCTCTGGAGCCTAAAAGTTCGAGATCACCTCGACACGTGAGATGACGCCTACAATAATAATAATCATAGAAGTTTGAAAAGAGACCACGTGTGCCCAGAGCATGGACAATAAAGCGAGAGCACATCCGTACTAAAAAGAAGACGATTGATAGGCAGGCAGGCAGGCAGGCAGGCAGGCAGGCAGGCAGGCAGGCAGGCAGGCAGGCAAATGTAGAAGGAGCCAGGCGCAGCGTCTCACGCCTGTAATAGCAGCAGTGTGGGCGGCCGAGGCAGGCAGGCGGATTGCTTGAGGACAGGAGTTCGAGACCAGCGTGGGCAACATGATAGAACCCCGAAACCCATCTCACTCACATACATACATACATACGTACATACATAGATACACACACACACACACACACACACACACACACACACACACACACACACACACACACCTACCTACGGAAAACATGAGAAACAACATAAAAGTCAGCCGGTGTGGTGGTGCGCGCCTGTAGTCTCAGGTAATGGGGATGGGAGGGATCAGAGGCAGAACGACCGTTTGGTCGGTCCAAAGCGTTGAGGTTGGGGTGATCCTGGGCGGCAGAGACAGAGGAAGACCCTGCCAGTAAGGGAGGGAAGGAAGGAAGGAAGGAGGGAAGGAAGGAAGGAAGGAAGGAAGGAAGGAAGGAAGGAAATAAACAGGCAAGCAGGCAAGCAAACGATGAACGTGACAATGACACAGAAGAACCCATGAGAATAAACGAGCAAATAACAGGGTATGAATGAAGCTAAAAGGCAATTGAGATCGCAATCAATCGTTTTCTCTGCACCCCACCCCACCGCAGCCCACGTAAGCTGGAGTGGAAGTGTGCGATCACAGCCCACGTTAACCTCTCCCTCCCGGGCTTAAGAGATCCCTGTAGTCCCAGCTATTTGGGAGGCTGAGGTCACCAGAGCGCAGAGACAGAAGACCAGGCGGGCCGGCCCCAAAAGAAAAGAAAATAAATAAACGAAAATTATTAATAAATAATGAATGAAGGAAGGGAGGAAGGATATACATACACGTGTATGTAAATGAAATGGGGCTTCGATACATATTCATCCATTAAAAGTAACATAATATAAACGTATTAATTATGGAAATATCATTTACATAGTTTTATCACTACGGGGGGTGTGTGTGTGTGTGTGTGTGTGTGTGTGTGTGTGTGTGTGTGTGTGTGTGTGTGTATGTGTAGATGTATGTTCATACACGGCAGCGTTCAGAAAATAAGATTGAAAAAAGGAAGGAATCGGCCGGGCATGGTGGCTCACATCTGTACTCCCAGCAGTCTTTGGGAGGCCGAGGCGGGCGGATCACTAGGTCGGGAGTTCGAGACCAGCCCGGCCAAAATGGTGAAATTACGTCTTTACTCGAAATAGAAAACTTGCTGTTTGCTTGAACCGTGGAGGCAGAGGCAGCAGCAGCAGCGAGCCGAGAAGGCACCAAGGAGGGAGGGAGGGGAGAGAGACAGAGAGAGAGAGAGAGAGAGAGAAAGAAAGAAAGAAAGAAAGAAAGAAAGAAAAGAAAGAAAGAAAGAAAGAAAGAAAGAAAGAAAGAAAACGCAAGGCAAAACCAAAAAGCAAAAAAGGAGGAAGCATTACTGGCTGACGGCAGCAGTGACTCCCTCTTAAAAGTCCCGCGGACGCAAACTCGCAGTGGGGCTGAAAAAAATGTAGAAGAGGGAGTTCCGCGTGGTCCCAGCTCCACCGCGGGCCGAGGCCGGTGGAGGTCGCCGGCGCGTGAACCGGAATCGACGCCCTCGCGTCGGTGCGCCGCAGCGTCCGGCGGCCGCCTGCTGGTCGACCCGGGACACGTGCAGACGCCAGCTAAGTCCGGAGCTCGCGGGCGGCAGCTGGTCGACCCCGGAGGTGCCGACCGAGACGGGGACGCGGCGGGTCCGGCTCGTCCCGACGGGCACTCTTACACGCCGCTCGGTGGAGAAGGCCCGCCGGTCGACCCGGGACACGGCGAGACAGCGGCTAAGTGTCAAGAGCCGAGAAGGCACCAAGGAAGGGGAGAGAGGGAGGGAGGGGGAGGGAGAGAGAGAGAGAGAGAGAGAGAGAGAGAGAGAGAGAGAGAGAGAGAGAGAGACAGAGAGAGACAGAGAGAAAGAGAGAGAGAGAGAGGGCGAGAGCGAGAGACAGAGAGAGAGAGAGAGAGAGAGAGAGAAAGAGAAAGAGAAAGAAAACGAGCGAGGGAGAGAGCGAGAGAGCGAGAGCGAGAAAGAAAGAAAGAAAGAAAGAAAGAAAGAAAGAAAGAAAGAAAGAAAGAAAAAAAAAAAAAAAAAAAAAAGGCAAGACAAAACCTAAAAGCAAAAAAGGAGGAAGCATTACTGGCTGACGGCAGCAGTGACTCCCTCTTAAAAGTCCCGCGGACGCAAACTCGCGGTGGGGCTGAAAAAAATGTAGGAGAGGGAGTTCCGCGTGGTCCCAGCTCCACGGCGGGCCGAGGCCGGTGGAGGTCGCGGGCGCGTGAACGGGAATCAGCGCCCTCGCGTCGGTGCGCCGCAGCGTCCGGCGGCCGCCTGCTGGTCGACCCGGGACACGTGCAGACGCCGGCTAAGTCCGGAGCTCGCGGGCGGCAGCTGGTCGACCCCGGAGGTGCCGACCGAGACGGGGACGCGGCGGGTCCGGCTCGTCCCGACGGGCACTCTTACACGCCGCTCGGTGGAGAAGGCCCGCCGGTCGACCCGGGGCACGGCGAGACAGCGGCTAAGTCTCAAGAGCCGAGAAGGCACCAAGGAAGGGGAGGGAGGGAGGGAGGGAGGGAGGGAGGGAGGGAGGGAGGGAGGGAGAGAGAGAGACACAGACAGAGACAGAGAGAGAGCGAGAGGGCGAGAGCGACAGAGAGAGAGAGAGAGAGAGAGAGAGAGAGAGAGAGACAGAGAGACAGAGAGAGAGAGAGGGCGAGAGCGAGAGACAGAGAGAGAGAGAGAGAGAGAGAGAGAGAAAACGAGCGAGGGAGAGAGCGAGAGGGCAAGAGCGAGAGAGAGAGAAAACGAGCGAGGGAGGGAGAGAGCGAGAGCGAGAAAGAAAGAAAGAAAGAAAGAAAAAGAAAGAAAGAAAGAAAGAAAGAAAAAAAAAAAAAAGGCAAGACAAAACCTAAAAGCAAAAAAGGAGGAAGCATTACTGGCTGACGGCAGCAGTGACTCCCTCTTAAAAGTCCCGCGGACGCAAACTCGCGGTGGGGCTGAAAAAAATGTGAGAGAGGGAGTTCCGCGTGGTCCCAGCTCCACCGCGGGCCGAGGCCGGTGGAGGTCGCGGGCGCGCGAACGGGAATCGACGCCCTCGCGTCGGTGCGCCGCAGCGTCCGGCGGCCGCCTGCTGGTCGACCCGGGACACGTGCAGGCGCCGGCTAAGTCCGGAGCTCGCGGGCGGCAGCTGGTCGACCCCGGAGGTGCCGACCGAGACGGGGACGCTCCGGTTGCGGTTCGTCCCGACGGGCACTCCTACACGCCGCTCGGTGGAGAAGGCCCGCCGGTCGACCCGGGACACGGCGAGACGCCGGCTGAGTCTCACGCCCGCGGGCGGCAGGCGGTCGACCCCGGAGGCCCGACCGAGGAGAGGTCACGAGCGGAGGTCGGCCGGGTGCGCGGACGCCCCGTGGGGCCTCGCCGCCCGCCGCCCACCACCCGCGGTCTGCTGGTCGACCCGTGCGGAGGAGCGAGGAGGAAGGACGCGCGAGGGCCGGGACCCCGGGTGGCCGCCCCACCGGGGCCCGCGCGGCCAACCCCCGGGACGGGGACCGGCGGGCCACGGGCCCGGCTCGGCGCGGCCGCCTCCGCGGCTCCCAAACCACGCTCCCCGGACCCCGTCCCGGCCCGGAGCGGACGAGCCGCCCCGGCGGTGAACGGGGAGGAGGCGGGAACCGAAGAAGCGGGGCGCGCCGACCGGGGTCGCGCGCCCTCCCCCCCACCCCCACCACCACGCCCGCGGTCGGCGGGAGAGGCCGGGAGGGAGGAAGACGAACGGAAGGACGGACGGCGCCGGACGCGCACGCCCCGCCGGGCCCCCCGCACGCACGCGCGCGCGCGCGCGCGGACAAACCCTTGTGTCGAGGGCTGACTTTCAATAGATCGCAGCGAGGGAGCTGCTCTGCTACGTACGAAACCCCGACCCAGAAGCAGGTCGTCTACGAATGGTTTAGCGCCAGGTTCCCCACGAACGTGCGGTGCGTGACGGGCGAGGGGGCGGCCGCCTTTCCAGCCGCGCCCCGTTTCCCAGGACGAAGGGCACTCCGCACCGGACCCCGGTCCCGGCGCGCGGCGGGGCACGCGCCCTCCCGCGCGCGCGGGGCGCGTGGAGGGGGGGGCGGCCCGCCGGCGGGGACAGGCGGGGGACCGGCTATCCGAGGCCAACCGAGGCTCCGCGGCGCTGCCGTATCGTTCCGCCTGGGCGGGATTCTGACTTAGAGGCGTTCAGTCATAATCCCACAGATGGTAGCTTCGCCCCATTGGCTCCTCAGCCAAGCACATACACCAAATGTCTGAACCTGCGGTTCCTCTCGTACTGAGCAGGATTACCATGGCAACAACACATCATCAGTAGGGTAAAACTAACCTGTCTCACGACGGTCTAAACCCAGCTCACGTTCCCTATTAGTGGGTGAACAATCCAACGCTTGGTGAATTCTGCTTCACAATGATAGGAAGAGCCGACATCGAAGGATCAAAAAGCGACGTCGCTATGAACGCTTGGCCGCCACAAGCCAGTTATCCCTGTGGTAACTTTTCTGACACCTCCTGCTTAAAACCCAAAAGGTCAGAAGGATCGTGAGGCCCCGCTTTCACGGTCTGTATTCGTACTGAAAATCAAGATCAAGCGAGCTTTTGCCCTTCTGCTCCACGGGAGGTTTCTGTCCTCCCTGAGCTCGCCTTAGGACACCTGCGTTACCGTTTGACAGGTGTACCGCCCCAGTCAAACTCCCCACCTGGCACTGTCCCCGGAGCGGGTCGCGCCCGGCCGGCGCGCGGCCGGGCGCTTGGCGCCAGAAGCGAGAGCCCCTCGGGGCTCGCCCCCCCGCCTCACCGGGTCAGTGAAAAAACGATCAGAGTAGTGGTATTTCACCGGCGGCCCGCAGGGCCGGCGGACCCCGCCCCGGGCCCCTCGCGGGGACACCGGGGGGGCGCCGGGGGCCTCCCACTTATTCTACACCTCTCATGTCTCTTCACCGTGCCAGACTAGAGTCAAGCTCAACAGGGTCTTCTTTCCCCGCTGATTCCGCCAAGCCCGTTCCCTTGGCTGTGGTTTCGCTGGATAGTAGGTAGGGACAGTGGGAATCTCGTTCATCCATTCATGCGCGTCACTAATTAGATGACGAGGCATTTGGCTACCTTAAGAGAGTCATAGTTACTCCCGCCGTTTACCCGCGCTTCATTGAATTTCTTCACTTTGACATTCAGAGCACTGGGCAGAAATCACATCGCGTCAACACCCGCCGCGGGCCTTCGCGATGCTTTGTTTTAATTAAACAGTCGGATTCCCCTGGTCCGCACCAGTTCTAAGTCGGCTGCTAGGCGCCGGCCGAGGCGAGGCGCCGCGCGGAACCGCGGCCCCGGGGGCGGACCCGGCGGGGGGGACCGGCCCGCGGCCCCTCCGCCGCCCGCCGCCGCCGCCGCGCGCCGAGGAGGAGGGGGGAACGGGGGGCGGACGGGGCCGGGGGGGTAGGGCGGGGGGACGAACCGCCCCGCCCCGCCGCCCGCCGACCGCCGCCGCCCGACCGCTCCCCGCCCCCAGCGGACGCGCGCGCGACGAGACGTGGGGTGGGGGGGGGGNCGCGCCGGCGCCCGCCGGGCTCCCCGGGGGCGGCCGCGACGCCCGCCGCAGCTGGGGCGATCCACGGGAAGGGCCCGGCTCGCGTCCAGAGTCGCCGCCGCCGCCGGCCCCCCGGGTGCCCGGGCCCCCCTCGCGGGGGACCGTGCCCCCGCCGCCGGGGCCCCGCGGCGGCCGCCGCCGGCCCCTGCCGCCCCGACCCTTCTCCCCCCGCCGCCGCCCCCACGCGGCGCTCCCCCGGGGAGGGGGGAGGACGGGGAGCGGGGGAGAGAGAGAGAGAGAGGGCGCGGGGTGGGGAGGGAGCGAGCGGCGCGCGCGGGGTGGGGCGGGGGAGGGCCGCGAGGGGGGTGCCCCGGGCGTGGGGGGGGCGGCGGCGCCTCGTCCAGCCGCGGCGCGCGCCCAGCCCCGCTTCGCGCCCCAGCCCGACCGACCCAGCCCTTAGAGCCAATCCTTATCCCGAAGTTACGGATCCGGCTTGCCGACTTCCCTTACCTACATTGTTCCAACATGCCAGAGGCTGTTCACCTTGGAGACCTGCTGCGGATATGGGTACGGCCCGGCGCGAGATTTACACCCTCTCCCCCGGATTTTCAAGGGCCAGCGAGAGCTCACCGGACGCCGCCGGAACCGCGACGCTTTCCAAGGCACGGGCCCCTCTCTCGGGGCGAACCCATTCCAGGGCGCCCTGCCCTTCACAAAGAAAAGAGAACTCTCCCCGGGGCTCCCGCCGGCTTCTCCGGGATCGGTCGCGTTACCGCACTGGACGCCTCGCGGCGCCCATCTCCGCCACTCCGGATTCGGGGATCTGAACCCGACTCCCTTTCGATCGGCCGAGGGCAACGGAGGCCATCGCCCGTCCCTTCAGAACGGCGCTCGCCCATCTCTCAGGACCGACTGACCCATGTTCAACTGCTGTTCACATGGAACCCTTCTCCACTTCGGCCTTCAAAGTTCTCGTTTGAATATTTGCTACTACCACCAAGATCTGCACCTGCGGCGGCTCCACCCGGGCCCGCGCCCTAGGCTTCAAGGCTCACCGCAGCGGCCCTCCTACTCGTCGCGGCGTAGCGTCCGCGGGGCTCCGGGGGCGGGGAGCGGGGCGTGGGCGGGAGGAGGGGAGGAGGCGTGGGGGGGGGGCGGGGGAGGACCCCACACACCCCCGCCGCCGCCGCCGCCCTCCGACGCACACCACACGCGCGCGCGCGCGCGCCGCCCCCGCCGCTCCCGTCCACTCTCGACTGCCGGCGACGGCCGGGTATGGGCCCGACGCTCCAGCGCCATCCATTTTCAGGGCTAGTTGATTCGGCAGGTGAGTTGTTACACACTCCTTAGCGGATTCCGACTTCCATGGCCACCGTCCTGCTGTCTATATCAACCAACACCTTTTCTGGGGTCTGATGAGCGTCGGCATCGGGCGCCTTAACCCGGCGTTCGGTTCATCCCGCAGCGCCAGTTCTGCTTACCAAAAGTGGCCCACTAGGCACTCGCATTCCACGCCCGGCTCCACGCCAGCGAGCCGGGCTTCTTACCCATTTAAAGTTTGAGAATAGGTTGAGATCGTTTCGGCCCCAAGACCTCTAATCATTCGCTTTACCGGATAAAACTGCGTGGCGGGGGTGCGTCGGGTCTGCGAGAGCGCCAGCTATCCTGAGGGAAACTTCGGAGGGAACCAGCTACTAGATGGTTCGATTAGTCTTTCGCCCCTATACCCAGGTCGGACGACCGATTTGCACGTCAGGACCGCTACGGACCTCCACCAGAGTTTCCTCTGGCTTCGCCCTGCCCAGGCATAGTTCACCATCTTTCGGGTCCTAACACGTGCGCTCGTGCTCCACCTCCCCGGCGCGGCGGGCGAGACGGGCCGGTGGTGCGCCCTCGGCGGACTGGAGAGGCCTCGGGATCCCACCTCGGCCGGCGAGCGCGCCGGCCTTCACCTTCATTGCGCCACGGCGGCTTTCGTGCGAGCCCCCGACTCGCGCACGTGTTAGACTCCTTGGTCCGTGTTTCAAGACGGGTCGGGTGGGTAGCCGACGTCGCCGCCGACCCCGTGCGCTCGCTCCGCCGTCCCCCTCTTCGGGGGACGCGCGCGTGGCCCCGAGAGAACCTCCCCCCGGGCCCGACGGCGCGACCCGCCCGGGGCGCACTGGGGACAGTCCGCCCCGCCCCCCGACCCGCGCGCGGCACCCCCCCCGTCGCCGGGGCGGGGGCGCGGGGAGGAGGGGTGGGAGAGCGGTCGCGCCGTGGGAGGGGTGGCCCGGCCCCCCCACGAGGAGACGCCGGCGCGCCCCCGCGGGGGAGACCCCCCTCGCGGGGGATTCCCCGCGGGGGTGGGCGCCGGGAGGGGGGAGAGCGCGGCGACGGGTCTCGCTCCCTCGGCCCCGGGATTCGGCGAGTGCTGCTGCCGGGGGGGCTGTAACACTCGGGGGGGGTTTCGGTCCCGCCGCCGCCGCCGCCGCCGCCACCGCCGCCGCCGCCCCGACCCGCGCGCCCTCCCGAGGGAGGACGCGGGGCCGGGGGGCGGAGACGGGGGAGGAGGAGGACGGACGGACGGACGGACGGGGCCCCCCGAGCCACCTTCCCCGCCGGGCCTTCCCAGCCGTCCCGGAGCCGGTCGCGGCGCACCGCCGCGGTGGAAATGCGCCCGGCGGCGGCCGGTCGCCGGTCGGGGGACGGTCCCCCGCCGACCCCACCCCCGGCCCCGCCCGCCCACCCCCGCACCCGCCGGAGCCCGCCCCCTCCGGGGAGGAGGAGGAGGGGCGGCGGGGGAAGGGAGGGCGGGTGGAGGGGTCGGGAGGAACGGGGGGCGGGAAAGATCCGCCGGGCCGCCGACACGGCCGGACCCGCCGCCGGGTTGAATCCTCCGGGCGGACTGCGCGGACCCCACCCGTTTACCTCTTAACGGTTTCACGCCCTCTTGAACTCTCTCTTCAAAGTTCTTTTCAACTTTCCCTTACGGTACTTGTTGACTATCGGTCTCGTGCCGGTATTTAGCCTTAGATGGAGTTTACCACCCGCTTTGGGCTGCATTCCCAAGCAACCCGACTCCGGGAAGACCCGGGCCCGGCGCGCCGGGGGCCGCTACCGGCCTCACACCGTCCACGGGCTGGGCCTCGATCAGAAGGACTTGGGCCCCCCACGAGCGGCGCCGGGGAGCGGGTCTTCCGTACGCCACATGTCCCGCGCCCCGCCGCGGGGCGGGGATTCGGCGCTGGGCTCTTCCCTGTTCACTCGCCGTTACTGAGGGAATCCTGGTTAGTTTCTTTTCCTCCGCTGACTAATATGCTTAAATTCAGCGGGTCGCCACGTCTGATCTGAGGTCGCGTCTCGGAGGGGGACGGGCCGCTCGGCGGACGGACGGACGGAATCGCGCCGGCCCGACCGCCCGCCCGACGCTCCGTCGGGAGACGGGCCCGGCGAGGGGGAGAGGCGACGGGAGAGAGAGCCGCGGCCGAGGGCACCCCCGCGCCGCCCCGCCGGAGCGGGACGACCGGAGGGAGGGGCACGGGCCGGGGGCGGGACGGGCGCCGCACGCCCCGACCCGTCTCCCCCGCGGAGGTCGGGGGGACGGGTCCGAGGACGCGGCGCCGCCGCCGCCCCGACGCGGAAGTCGGGACGGGGCCCCGGCGCGGCGCGGCGCGGCCGAGCCGGAGGCGGGCGCGCGACGGCGGACGACACCGCGGCGTCCCGCGGGTCGCCGCCGGGGACACGCGAACCCCGGCGCCGCGGCCACGGGCGCGGCCGGGCGGGCCGCGGGGCGGGCTCCCGGCCCCGGCCGACGCGCCGCGAGGCGAGCCGGGCGGGCGGGCGCGCGCGCGTACGCGCGGGGAGGGCGAGGAGGACGGGCGGGGCCTCGGAGGAGGGGCGGCGGGGGAGGAGGAGGGGCGCGGGAGCGGCGGTCGGCCGGACGCCGGGCCGCCACCGGGGGCGGGCGGCGAACCGCGGCGACCGGGACGCGCTCCCCCGACCCTCTCTCCCCGCCGGCACCCTTCCCCTTCCGGACCCGCCTTCCTCCTCCCCCACCACCACACCGCACGCAACACGCCCCCACCGCCGACGACGCGCGACGACGACGACGACGGGCACGGGACCTTCCACCCGGCCGGGGCCGACGAACCCCGAACCCCGAGCCGCGCGCGGCGCGAGGGAGCCCCCCGAGGGAGGAACCCGGACCGCAGGCGGCGGCCACGGGAACTCGGCCCGAGCCGGCTCTCTCTTTCCCTCTCCGTCTTCGCGGGCGGCGGCGGCGCCGCCCTCCCCGTCTCTCTCAGCCGGGCGCGCCCCCCTCTCCCCCCCGCCACCCGACGCGTGACCACGCAGGGCCCGCGGGGGGAGGGGGAAGGGGCGGGCGCGGCGGCAAGAGGAGGGCGGACGCCGCCGGGTCTGCGCTTAGGGGGACGGAGGGCCCCCGGCGGGCCCTGCGAGGGAACCCCCAGCCGCGCACCCCGAGGAGCCCGGAGGCACCCCCGGGGGCGATTGATCGGCAAGCGACGCTCAGACAGGCGTAGCCCCGGGAGGAACCCGGGGCCGCAAGTGCGTTCGAAGTGTCGATGATCAATGTGTCCTGCAATTCACATTAATTCTCGCAGCTAGCTGCGTTCTTCATCGACGCACGAGCCGAGTGATCCACCGCTAAGAGTCGTACGAGGTCGATTTGGCGAGGGCGCTCCCGACGACGCACCGGGAGGAGGCCCTTCCTGGCGCGGCACGTCCCCCCGCCCCCCCCCAAGAGGAGAGGGGGTTGCCTCAGGCCGGCCAGACGAGACAGCAAACGGGACCGGACTCCGGAGAGGGGTCGGAAGGTTTCACACCACGGGGAGGCGCGCGCCGCCCACGCGGGGGCGAGCGCGGACACCACCCCACAGGCGCCCGGGGGTTCCCGCCCCCACGGCGCGGGGCGCACGCCACACGCGCGGCAGGCGCGCGACGGCCGCCGGGTAAAGCCCCCACCCGACGGCCGCCGCGGCGGCGGCGGCGGCGCGGCCCCGGCCGGGGAGCGGAGTCCGCGGTGGAGGCGCGGGAGGGGCCGGGCCCCTCCCGACGGGACTCCCCCGCGGGCCCACCACCGCCCCCGACCCACGGGCGGACGGGCGATCCCCCCAAGGGGTCTTTAAACCTCCGCGCCGGAACGCGCTAGGTACCTGGACGGCGGGGGGGCGGACGAGGAGGCGGGGGAGGGGACCGGCGTCCGGCCCCCGACCCTCGAGACGCCCTAGCGGGAAGGCCGGGGAGAGCGAGCGGGGCCGTGCCCGGCGGCGCGGAGCGGCGCGGCGGAGGCGACGGGAATCCGGCCGGCCCCGAAGACGGGGAGCCGGCGCGGCGGGGCCGGACGACGGGCCCCGGCGGGGAGGAGGGCACCGAGACCCCCAGACCCGCCGCGACGCCGCCGAGAACCGCCCCCGCGCCCGCCGACACCCACGCCGTCGGGGCCGCTGCCGGGGACCGCTCCCCGCCGCCCGCCGGCCCCACGACACGCGCACACCAACGACACGCCCTTCTTTCTCTTTCTCTCTCTCTCTCTCTCTCCCCCGTCTCCCTCCCGAGTTCTCCGGCTCTCGCGGCCGGCGGGGCCGGGCGGCGAACGAACGAGCGAGCGAACGAACGGGCACGCGGGCCCCGCCCGCGCACGCGCCGCGTCGCGGTGGGGGGGTGGGTGTGCGGAGGGAAGCGCGCGGCGGCGGCGCCGCCGCGGGCCTCGCCCTCCGGGCTCCGTTAATGATCCTTCCGCAGGTTCACCTACGGAAACCTTGTTACGACTTTTACTTCCTCTAGATAGTCAAGTTCGACCGTCTTCTCAGCGCTCCGCCAGGGCCGTGGGCCGACCCCGGCGGGGCCGATCCGAGGGCCTCACTAAACCATCCAATCGGTAGTAGCGACGGGCGGTGTGTACAAAGGGCAGGGACTTAATCAACGCAAGCTTATGACCCGCACTTACTGGGAATTCCTCGTTCATGGGGAATAATTGCAATCCCCGATCCCCATCACGAATGGGGTTCAACGGGTTACCCGCGCCTGCCGGCGTAGGGTAGGCACACGCTGAGCCAGTCAGTGTAGCGCGCGTGCAGCCCCGGACATCTAAGGGCATCACAGACCTGTTATTGCTCAATCTCGGGTGGCTGAACGCCACTTGTCCCTCTAAGAAGTTGGGGGACGCCGACCGCTCGGGGGTCGCGTAACTAGTTAGCATGCCAGAGTCTCGTTCGTTATCGGAATTAACCAGACAAATCGCTCCACCAACTAAGAACGGCCATGCACCACCACCCACGGAATCGAGAAAGAGCTATCAATCTGTCAATCCTGTCCGTGTCCGGGCCGGGTGAGGTTTCCCGTGTTGAGTCAAATTAAGCCGCAGGCTCCACTCCTGGTGGTGCCCTTCCGTCAATTCCTTTAAGTTTCAGCTTTGCAACCATACTCCCCCCGGAACCCAAAGACTTTGGTTTCCCGGAAGCTGCCCGGCGGGTCATGGGAATAACGCCGCCGCATCGCCGGTCGGCATCGTTTATGGTCGGAACTACGACGGTATCTGATCGTCTTCGAACCTCCGACTTTCGTTCTTGATTAATGAAAACATTCTTGGCAAATGCTTTCGCTCTGGTCCGTCTTGCGCCGGTCCAAGAATTTCACCTCTAGCGGCGCAATACGAATGCCCCCGGCCGTCCCTCTTAATCATGGCCTCAGTTCCGAAAACCAACAAAATAGAACCGCGGTCCTATTCCATTATTCCTAGCTGCGGTATCCAGGCGGCTCGGGCCTGCTTTGAACACTCTAATTTTTTCAAAGTAAACGCTTCGGGCCCCGCGGGACACTCAGCTAAGAGCATCGAGGGGGCGCCGAGAGGCAAGGGGCGGGGACGGGCGGTGGCTCGCCTCGCGGCGGACCGCCCGCCCGCTCCCAAGATCCAACTACGAGCTTTTTAACTGCAGCAACTTTAATATACGCTATTGGAGCTGGAATTACCGCGGCTGCTGGCACCAGACTTGCCCTCCAATGGATCCTCGTTAAAGGATTTAAAGTGGACTCATTCCAATTACAGGGCCTCGAAAGAGTCCTGTATTGTTATTTTTCGTCACTACCTCCCCGGGTCGGGAGTGGGTAATTTGCGCGCCTGCTGCCTTCCTTGGATGTGGTAGCCGTTTCTCAGGCTCCCTCTCCGGAATCGAACCCTGATTCCCCGTCACCCGTGGTCACCATGGTAGGCACGGCGACTACCATCGAAAGTTGATAGGGCAGACGTTCGAATGGGTCGTCGCCGCCACGGGGGGCGTGCGATCGGCCCGAGGTTATCTAGAGTCACCAAAGCCGCCGGCGCCCGCCCCCCGGCCGGGGCCGGAGAGGGGCTGACCGGGTTGGTTTTGATCTGATAAATGCACGCATCCCCCCCGCGAAGGGGGTCAGCGCCCGTCGGCATGTATTAGCTCTAGAATTACCACAGTTATCCAAGTAGGAGAGGAGCGAGCGACCAAAGGAACCATAACTGATTTAATGAGCCATTCGCAGTTTCACTGTACCGGCCGTGCGTACTTAGACATGCATGGCTTAATCTTTGAGACAAGCATATGCTACTGGCAGGATCAACCAGGTAGGTAAGGTAGAGCGCGGCGAGGCCCCGACGCGGCCGGACGGCCGGCCGGGGGGCCTCGCGAGGACGGGCCCGGCGCCCCGCAAGCGAGGAGGACGACGGACGGACGGACGGACGGGCCGCGGACGGGCGGACGGGAGGGAGCGAGCGGGCGCGGGGGCGGCGGCCGGGACCGGTGGGGCCGGGGCGGGGCGCGGGAACCGGACGCCCCAACCACCCGCCCCCCACGCGACACGACCACCGGGGCCCCGCGCCACAGACCCGCGACGCTTCTTCGTCGGCCCGCCCGCGAGGAGGCGGACGGCCCGACCCGCGCCCGGCGGCCGGGAGGGACCGGCGGCCACGCGCGCGCGCCCCGGCGCCCGCGGGCGCGCGAGGCGGGGACGGCGCTCCGCCGCCCCGCGGCGCCCCGACGTCCGGGCGGCGAGCGAGAGGCGGACCGCGGTGCCCGGCCCGGGGACAGTCGCGCCGTGCGGCCGCAGCGCCCGCGCACCGGTCCGGTCGAGGGCCCGGGGCCGGCCGAAGCCCGGCTCCGAGCCCCGCCGGCGGGCGCGGGCGCAGGGGTGGCACACGCCACACGACGGCCAAGGGAGGGCGACCGAGGCCGGCCGGCGCGCCCGCCCCCGCCCGGGACGGGGGACCGCGACCGGGGCCGAGGCCCCGGCCCGGGCCCCACCCCCCGACCCGGGGAGAGGGCGAGCGACCGGCAAGGCGGAGGTCGACCCACGCCACACGTCGCACGAACGCCTGTCCGGGAGGGACCACCGGGCCGCGCTCGGGCGCACGCGCGCGCCGAACGGGGCGACGCCACGCGGGGAGGACGGGCTCTCCCCGACGCCGACGCCCGGGACGGACGCCTCGGGGAAGGGCCGCGGCAGGCCCGGGAAGCGAGGCGCACCCGGGGGACGCGCCGACCCGGTTCGGAAGAGCGGGCCGGGAGAAGACGAGAGACCACGGGCGAGGCCGGGGCGACGGGGAAGGCGCGAGAAAGGCGGCCGGCGGGGAAGGGGACGCCACGGGGACCCCTCGAGCGCGGCCGACCGCAGCCGGGACACACGCGCGGGGCCTCACCGCCGCCGGCGGCACCGCGCGGCACCCGGGGCGGCCGACCGGCCCTCGGCGATCCCCGCGGCTCCCCCCACCACCGCCGCCGCAGTCGCGGCCGGTCCCCCGGAACCGTCTCCTCCCCCGCACGCGCCGCAGGCCGACCCCCGGAACCCTCCGGGAAGCCCACCGGGCCCCACGCGGGGCGCCACCGACCCGGTCCCCAAGGCGCGCGCCGGGGGACGCGGACGCCGGGCCGATCAGTGGCCGGCGGCGGCGCCCCACGAGGCGGTGCCGGGTTCGGTCCCAGGCGGGGCCACCAACGGACGTGAAGCCGGTGAGCCGCTCGGGGGGAAGAAGAGGATCGGCGGGCGGCGGGCGGGGAAGAGGGCACAGACGGGCGAGGGCCGGGGACCGCGAGGGCAAGGGCACCCGGGAGCCCGCAGAGGCGGCGGCTCCGGGAGAAACCTCAGGCACGGCCGGGCCACCAGGAAAACACGGCCGCGGGATCCCACCGCCACAGACACGAGGGCGGTCCCGCGGCGCCCCGCCTGGGACGCCGGACGGCCCTCGGCCCCCACCGAGAACCGCCTCGCGAGCCCCGGGGCCCCGCCACCGGGGGCCCCGGAGCGACCGCAGCCACGAACCCGACACGCCACCACCACCGTCGCTCGTGATTCTCGTCCATCCTCCGACCCGGTCCCGCTCCGGGAGACCGGCGCGCCCCCACCGTGGGACGCTTTCCCAGGGCCAGGCGGGCCCGACCCCGTGCCACGCAAACGCGGTCGTCGGCACCGGTCACGACTCGGCACGGGAGCGGGCGGAGAGCCGACTCGCGGCGGAGGGAGTCACGCGCCGGACAGAGCGCCGGGCGCGCACACCCACCGCCCGCCGGCCGCCGCGTCCCAACCCGCTGGGACGCCGGGCCCGGCCCGGCGGGATCCTCCCCCGACTCGGAAGGGGGAGGCGCGGGCCACAGTAGGCGACGAGCCGCACTCGGCCACCACCGCGGTGGCCGGCGGAACCCTCGCTTCTCCCCCCCAACCCCGTCGAGGGGGAAGCGGAGGAGGGTCCTCTGCGAGCGGGTCGCTACGGCAGCGCTACCATAACGGAGGCAGAGACAGAGGCGGCGGCCCGGGGGATCCGGTACCCCCAAGGCACGCCTCTCAGATCGCTAGAGAAGGCTTTTCTCACCGAGGGTGGGTCACACTCCCCCCACCCGCCAGCCGCTCCTCCTCGGGCCCGCAGAGGCGCCGAGGGACGCCTGGGGAAGGGAGGGGGCCCTGCGGTACGAGGAAACACCTGCGCGCGGCCACCTCGAGCGTTCGCGTTCAGGGCGGGGGCCCGGCCGGTGCGCGCGTGCGCGCAACCCCACCAGGCCCCCCCGTCCACCCACCTCCTTCCTTCCGAGGCAGAGCGCCTCCGAAGTCAACCCACACACGACCGGTCGGAGGCAGAACGGCAGCCCCTCGGCGGCCGGCCGGCGCACGCGTCACACCGGCCCGAACCCACCGCGATCGCTCACACGGCCCGCGCGCACCCGCCAGAGGGGAGCACGGGACGTGCGCTCACCGAGAGCAGGCGGGCGCCCTTCCCCGCGTGGGAGGGGCGCGTCTCGTCTCGTCTCACTCAAACCGCCCCGAACCCCACACCGACGAGCTCCCTCAGGACCCACGCGCGGACACCGCGGCGGCGACCGGAGGAGGGGGCGCCGGGGGCGGGAACGACACACCACCGTTCGGCCTCGGGCACCTGAGGGACAACCCGGAGCGCTCCAGGAGCACCGCAAGGGCCCAGGCGGAGCCGACGCTCGCGCAAACCCCCCGAGAGGGCAGCACGACGGGCCGGCGGGACGGCACCCCCACCGCCGCGGAGGGGGGCCGCCCGCAAGTCGACAACCACTGGAGGCGACAGCGAGGGCTGTCTGCCGCGTCAGAGGACCCCGCCGGCCCGCACCCGCGACGCAGAAGGCGGCGGGCGGGACGGCGAGGTCGGGCCGGGGTCCGCACCCCACGCCTTCCCACACGCACCGCCGGCGGGCGGGGAGAGGAGAGACGAGGGGACCCCCGCGGGGCGGAGCGAGAAGGACGGTCCCGTTCGCCACGAACGTCCGCCCCTCGCCCGTCGCGGCTCGGACCCGGCCCGGGAGAGCACGACGTCACCACATCGATCACGAAGAGCCCCCCGGGAGCGGAGGCCGGCCGGCCGGCCAGCGAGCCGATCGGCTCCGGCCAACCCCCCACTCCGGGGAAGGGGCGGCGGACAACCCCGCGGAGACGAGAACGCCTGACACGCACGGCACGGAGCCAGCGGGGTGGGGTTGTCGCGGCCGCCCCGGGCGCCCGCAGCGGAGAGCGCACGGGGGCACGGTGGCCCTCGCCGCCTTCCCCGCCGCCCCCGGGTGGGTCAGAGACCCGGACCCGGGCCGGCACCGGGAGTCGGGACGCTCGGACGCGCGAGAGAACAGCAGGCCCGCGGGCCCCGGCAGGCGGCTCAAGCAGGAGCGCGGCCGGCTAGCCGGGTCACCGGTAGGCCAGAGCCCCGCGCGCATCCGGAGGCCCAACCTCTCCAGCGACAGGTCGCCAGAGGACAGCGTGTCAGCAATAACCCGGCGGCCCAAAATGCCGACTCGGAGCGAAAGATATACCTCCCCCGGGGCCGGGAGGTCGCGTCACCGACCACGCCGCCGGCCCAGGCGACGCGCGACACGGACACCTGTCCCCAAAAACGCCACCATCGCAGCCACACACGGAGCGCCCGGGGCCCTCTGGTCAACCCCAGGACACACGCGGGAGCAGCGCCGGGCCGGGGACGCCCTCCCGGCCGCCCGTGCCACACGCAGGGGGCCGGCCCGTGTCTCCAGAGCGGGAGCCGGAAGCATTTTCGGCCGGCCCCTCCTACGACCGGGACACACGAGGGACCGAAGGCCGGCCAGGCGCGACCTCTCGGGCCGCACGCGCGCTCAGGGAGCGCTCTCCGACTCCGCACGGGGACTCGCCAGAAAGGATCGCGGCAGAGGGACCGCTCCCCGGCACCCGGGGGACGGGGGCGGGACGGTCCCCGGCTCCCCACGGGGACTCGGAAACGAATTCGGCCGCCGCCTCAGACGGCCAGGATGAGCGCGGACCCGCGACCGGGCCGGGAAGGGCGTCCCCAGCCTCCCGCGCCACGCGCGGCGGGTCCCCGCGGGTCGCGGCTCGGGCCTCGGGAGCTACGGCGCGCTGGTCGACCGGCCCGGGCAGCCCCACGCCCGCCGCGGGCCCAGAAGCGCAGCGACAGCCTCTCCCCCACATAAACCTGCACGCCAGAGCTGTGACTCACAAGCGACGCGCCACAGCTCTGGCGCCACCGGGCCAGCCGGGCTGACGACCGCGGGCTTTCCGGAGCTCTGCCTAGCTCACAGCGGGGACGGTCCCCTCCCTCGGCAGCTGCCACCGCAGCTCCGGAAGCCGAGAGCACGATCTCAAAGCGGCCGCCAGATGGAGCCCGACAACCGCCGCGGACGTCAGCGAGACAGATCCGGCTGGCAGGGCGGCCCGTGGACCGCGAAAGCGAAACCGTGAGTCGAGAAGCTCTTCCCGAGGCCGAAAACGCAGCCCCTCTGCCCCAACCCCACACAAACGGTGCCCAAAACGCGTCTCTGCCTCGACCGCGACAGAGTCAGAAGACAACCCACGGCGCGTGGGTGTTTGGAGATGCCTCTCGGAAGCAGGGAGGGAGGGAGGGAGGGAGGGAGGGAGGGAGAAAGAACACACAAGGACTCGGTCGCGGGTCGCTGCAGACACACGGAGAGGCAGAATGCGTAGGCTCTTCCGGAATCCACGCAGAGACAGACGGGGGGAGGGGAGTGGGGAAAAGAGACAGATGGCGAAAGGGAAGGAGGGAGGGAAGGGAGCAGGGAGGGAGGGAGGGAGGGAGGGAGGAAGACAATGGAGAAAAGAGAGACAATTTAGAAAACGTAGATACACAAAGTAAACTTCTGAAACACTCCATTTTTTAAAAGACAGACGGGAAGGAAAGAAACACGAAAAAGAGAGAAAGAATGAGGAAAGAAACGAAGGAAAGAAGGGAAAAAGAAACAGAGAGGAAAGAAAAAAGAAGGAAACACAGGGAACGAAAGAGAAATAAAGCACGAAGGAAAAAAGGACAGAAAGAGAGAAAGAAGGAAAGGAAGAGAGGAAGAAAAACCTAAAGAAGGAGAGAAAGGAAGAAAGGAAGGAAGAAAAACACGAAGGAGAGGAAGAAAGAAAACAGAGATAACTACGTACGCTCGTTCATTTACACACATAAATACGACGCTTTTCATACGTAAAATAAACGTCTTTATCGACGATCCCTTCTTTATAGAGCGATGTGTATTTATTTGTATAACACAGACACCTACATCTATCATACAGAAGTCTATTTCCATACAACCGATACGTATTTACCATACGCAAGAGTATTCAATGCAGAGATACACGTTGTCGTTGTTTGCATATAAGCGTACAGAAACGTTTACATTAATACATATAAGTAAACGCGTGGAAACGAAAGAAATAAAAAAGCGAAATGAGTCAACAGGCCGGGCACGGTGGCTCACGCCCGTCATCCCAGCACTTCGAGAGGCCGAGGTGGGCGCATCACAGGAGGTCGGGAGTTGGAGACCAGCCTGAGCAACATGGAGAGACACGGCGTGCCTACTAAAAACACAAACATCAGCCAAGCCAGGCGTGGGGGTGCCTCCCTGTAATCCCCGCTAATCGGGAGGCTGAGGCAGGAGAAGCGCTCGAACCCGGGAGGCGGAAGGTGCGGTGAGCCAAGACCGCGCCATTGCACTCTAGCCGTGGAAACAAGAGTGAAACTCTGTCTCAAAAGGACGAAACAGAAAGAAAGAAAGAAAGGAAGGAAGGAAGGAAGGAAGGAAGAAAGAAAGAAAAGAAAGAAGGAATGAATGAAAGAAAAGAAAGCAAGAAAGAAAGAAAGAAAGAAAAAGAAAAGAAAGAAAGAAAAGAAAGCAAGAAAGCACGAAAGCAAGCAAGCAAGAAAGCAAGAAAACAAGGAAGCAAGAAAGCAAGCAAGAAAGAAACAAAAGAAAGAAAGCAAGAAAACAAGAAAGCACGAAAGCAAGCAAGCAAGAAAGCAAGAAAACAAGGAAGCAAGAAAGAAAGAAACAAAAGAAAGAAAGAAAACAAGAAAGCAAGAAAGCACGAAAGCAATCAAGCAAGAAAGCAAGCAGGAAAGAAACAAAAGAAAGAAAGAAATCGAGAAAACAAGAAAGCACGAAAGCAAGCAAGCAAGAAAGCAAGCAAGAAAGAAACAAAAGAAAGAAAGAAAGAAAGAAAACAGGAAAGCAAGAAAGCACGAAAGCAAGCAAGCAAGAAAGCAAGCAGGAAAGAAACAAAAGAAAGAAAGAAATCGAGAAAACAAGAAAGCACGAAAGCAAGCAAGCAGGAAAGCAAGCAAGAAAGAAAGAAAAGAAAGAAAGAAAGAAAGAAAACAGGAAAGCAAGAAAGCACGAAAGCAAGCAAGCAAGCAAGAAAGCAAGCAAGAAAGAAACAAAAGAAAGAAAGAAAGAAAGAAAACAGGAAAGCAAGAAAGCACGAAAGCAAGCAAGCAAGCAAGAAAGCAAGCATGAAAGAAACGAAAGAAAGAAAGAAAGAAAGAAAACGGGAAAGGAAGAAAGCACGAAAGCAAGCAAGCAAGCGAGCGAGAGAGAGAGAGAGAGAGAGAGAGAGAGAGAGGCTGGGCGCGGTGGCTCACGCCTGTCATCCCAGCACTTTGGGAGGCTAAGGCAGGCGGACCACCTGAGGTTGGGAGTGGGAGACCAGCCTGACCAACATGGAAAAACACCGTCTCTACTAAAAGTACAAACATCAGCCAGGCACGGTGGCCCATGCCTGTAATCCCAGCTAATCAGGAGGCTGAGGCAGGAGAATCGCTTGAACCTGGGAGGCGGAGGGTGCGGTGAGCCGAGATCGCGCCATTGCCCTCTAGCCTGGGCAACAAGAGTGAAACTCTGTCTCAAAAAAAAGAAGAAGAAGAAGAAGAAAAAGAGAAAGTAATAAAGAAAGAAAGAAAGAAAGAAAAGGCAAGGCCAGGCAAGGCCAGGCAAGGCAAATCTACCTGCTTTCACTACATCTGGGGAGAATCAGGAAAGTCCCCAACAACAACAAGGCCTAAAGTGGAGCTGCCATCTGTCAAACCCGAGCGGAAGAGTCCACGCGGGTTAAAGACACGAAGAAAGACAAGGAAACCCCTGACCAAGGAGAAGAACAATCGGGCCCAGCCAGGGTCTGTCTCCCGGGGTTGTCTGGGCAACCAGGGAGGGCGGGCCTCCGAGACTCCGTCTCGAAACATCAATCACGATAATAACATAAAATGAAGTTAAAAAAAGAAATCACGCATAATTCCTAACGTGTTTGAGGCCTCGAAAGGCGAGAGGCGTATGTGTACGTCACGGTGGGGTTGTTCTGTTTTGTTGTTTTTTTCTTTTTTCTTTTCTTCTTTTTCCCCAGAAACTCACTTTTAATTATTTTGTTGCGTTTCATTTTCATTTTCATTTTGCCTTCAAGTCCAGCGTCGCAAGCATGGCAATACCCCTTCTCTACTAATGTTCAAAAATTAGCAGGGCATTATGGCGCGTGACTGTAATCCCGGCCACTCAGGAGGATGAGACTGGAGAATCGCTTCAACCCGGGAGATATTTGCTGCAGTGAACCCAGTGCACCACTGCATTCCAGCCTGGGTGGCTGAGCGAGAGTCCGTCTTAAAAAAAAAAAAAAAGACACAAGAAAGAACAGACCAAAATACTCCATTGTTTCAGAACATTTCCCCAGAAGACCCCAAACGCCCTGAGTCAGGTCAAGGAGGTGGTGCTTTATTTTACTTGTCTCTCTCTCTTTCTCTCTCTCTCTCTTTCTTCCCTAACTGTTATTTGTTTTTGAAGCATACATGTGCAAGATTGTTTCATAGGTAAACTTCTGAGTAGGGGGTTCAGTGTGCCGATGATTTCCTCACCCGGATTCTCAGCGCAGTCCCCTACAGTTTTTGTGTTCTGCTCGTTTTGCTTTGTCCTGAAGCTGTCTGTCCTTCCACACGTCCTCCCTCAGGTAGGCTCCTGCGTCTCTCGTCCCCCTAGTTCTTCGCATGCATTCTCATTATGTAGTTCCCACTTATGTGTGAGAACACGCGGTATTTAGATGATTATTGTTTCATCTTCGGTGGTGGTGATGAAAGAGGCATGACACTACATCGACCCTTAGGACGCTCCCCTCCATCCCCACCCTACACCCCCTCCCCACGCACACCGTCTTTCCTGCACCCCCTCCTGAAACCCAACAAACGAAGAAAGACAGAAATTAAAGTAAGAGTTCAGCCACCAAGGCGGTGGTGGGGGGGAATCTCAAACGGTGAGCAGGCGATGGGAGTCTGGGGATGTCATGGCCTAGGTAGCAACAATAGGGGACCGACTTTCCAGCCCCCACCCCACACTCCCTAATCCTCAGCCATCACTTTGGAGTTCATCCAAGGAAGGCTGGTCTCAGGGACTACATACCTAACCTCTCTGGGCTTCTATAGGATAAGATGTTATGGCCAGACGCGGAGCTCACGCCTTTAATCTCAGCACTTTGGGTGGTCAAGTTGGGTGGTACGCCTCAGGTTGGGTGTTCTAGACCAGCCTGACCATTATGGAGCTACCTAGTCTCTATGAAAAAAAAAAAATTAGCCAGGCCTGGAGGTGTTTGCCTGTGGTTTCAGCTACTCGAAAGGGTGAAGACTGGAAAATCTCTTGAACACAGGCGGCAGAGGTTGCGGTGAGCTGAGGTCACGCCACTGAACTCCAGCCTGGGCAATAAGAGCGAAACTCCACCTGAAAGACAAAAAAAAAAAAAAAAAAATGAAAAGGAAAGAAGATTTTATGAAGTATAGTTTATACCAATCGGCTCTCACTGTACCTTGAGAGATTCCGAAAATCGCTACTTAATGACCGAAGAAAACACCAGCTAACAGGTTTTGGGGAAAATACACATCTTCCTAAAATTGGTAAAATCTACTTCAACTGAAAAGAGATAAGTAAAGTAAAAACTACAAACAAAACAAAACGTAAAAACAAACACAGACCAAGGCATCGCTTGTGGAAATATTATGTAAGCAAATTGTCACTTTTTAGAAAGCATTTCTATGTTGGGCAAATACCAGTAAGGCCCAGGGAAGATCTGTGAAATGTGGCAGCATGCACCATTTTAAGGGCTGAAATCCATCTGTGTGTCTCCTTTCATCACAACTCTTTTTTTTGGGCGGGCGGATACCTGGAGTTCATGAGTTCAAGAGCAGTCTGGGCAATATAGCAAAATTCTGACTACTAAAAAGGCAAATGTTAGCTGGGTATGGTGTCACACAGAACTATGTTCCAAGAGGAAGCATCACAAATACCCATGGTCCGCAGTCAAGAAATGAACTGAGTTTACAAGTTTGTAGTGTCATTGCTGCCTCGAAAGGTGAGATGCATATGTTTGTGTCACTGCGGGTTTCTATTTCTTCTTGGAAACTCACTTATTTTTAATTACTTTTTTTTTTTTTAGATGGAATCTGACTCTGTCACCCAAGCTGGAGTCCAGTGGCATGATCTGGGCTGACTGCAATCTCCATCTCCCGGCTTCAACAGATTCTACTACCTCAGCATATAGAGTAGCTGGGAGTAGAGGTGTGTGACACCACACCTGGTTAATTTTTGTATTCTTCATACAGACAGAGTTTGACTATGTTGGCCAGGCTGGTCTCAAACTCCTGACCTCGTAATCCTCCCACATCCGCCTAGCAAACTGCTGAGATGAGAGGAGTGGCCCACTGCACCCAGCCTACTGGTTTATTTTTAAAAATAGCAATTTGGGTCGGGCGCAGTGTGTCTCGCCTTTCTATATCAACCAACATTCTTTCTCGAGTCTGATGACCTGGGATCTCCCAGCACTTTGGGAGGACGAGGCCACAGGATTCCTGGAAGTTGGAGTTCAAGACCAGCCTGGGCAACATGGGAAAACCCTGTCTTTACTAAAAAGGTAAAAGTTAGCTGGGTATGGTGGCACGTGCCTGTTATCCCAGCTACTCGAGAGGCTAAGGCAAGAGAATCGCTGGAACCTGGGAGGCGGAGGTTGCAGTGGCCCGATACTGCGCCATGGCCTGACCAACAGAACAAGACTCCATCTCAAATAAATTAATAAATACGTTAGTTAATCGAAAAGTTTAAAAAGAAAACTTCAAGGACGTTGCAGGAATGCACGGGAATGCTTCTCTCATTCCTAAAGATCAGAGCAGAAACACAGTACCATCAGGTTGAGATACAGGCCATTGTGAATCTCTTCTCACTGTGCTCAACTGACACCAAAGAAGGGCAGGTTTCCATGCCGCCCGTTCATCATCACCGCTCTCGTCAAGTATAATTGCAGAGTCATGACTACACAGAGATCTCTCAACCCACCAACTGCGTCCTTACTTGTATGAGTGCAGTTGAAAGAATAAACAGGGCATTTAGCGAAGTAATCATCATATGTTCTTTTGTCTCTCGTGTCTCTCATGAAACCAATCACATTCGTGGACCACTTTTTCCCCACCCTTCGAACATCCACAGAGCATCAAAATAAAAGAGCAGTGAATGCCTTTTACGCGACAAGGAGGAAAAACAACAAAGTGAAAGTCACAGAGGCTTGTGATACACAGGGAGATACAGAATAAGGAGAATTTTCCAAAATCCACACAAAGACAGACAGACAGAGGGATGGAAAGAAAGAAATGAAGAAAAGAGAGAGAGAGTAAGGAAGATCAAGAAAAAGAAAATAGACAGACAGAGATGTAAAGGGAAGAAAGATGAAAAAGAAAACCAAAAGACATAGAAACAGAAAAAAAAAGAATGAGAAATGAGAGAAAAAAGGGAGGAAGAAAAAGAGAGAAGAAAAAGAAAAGACAGAAAGAAAGAGAAAGAAAAAAAGAGAAAAAATGAAGGAAATAAAAAAGAGGGCAGGGCATTGTGGCTCACACCTATAATCCCAGCACTTTGGGAGGCTGAGTTGGAAGAATTGCTAGAGCCTAGGACTTTGAGACCAGCCCTGGCAACACAGTGAGACCCCGTCTCTACTGAAAAAGAAAAGAAAAGAAAAAAATCCGGGCATTATGATGGCAGGCGCCTGTGGTCCCAGATCCTTTGGAGCCTGAGTTGAGAACATCGCTTGGGGTCGGGAGGTGGAGGCTGCAGCGGGTCTTGGTCAGACAAATGCTCTGCAGTCTGTTTCCGAGGCTGTCTTGAACTCCCGAGCTCTAGCGAACTGCCCTCCTCAGCCTCCGAAATTGCAGCCGCCACAACCAACGGTCCTGAAGGTGTCATTGACAGATTTTAGTAAACAGGGTGTTTCGCCATATTGCGAATTTGAACCCAGGCATTTGAAGCTGCAGTGACCCAAAGTCGCGCCACTGCACTGCACTCTGGGTGATAGAGGAAGACTCCATCTCTAAATAATTACATAAATAATAAAAACAATAACAATAATGACAAACAATAATACAAAGAAATAATAAGCAGCAATAATAATAAACAAACTCGTGGGAGTGAAAAACTATAAAAGGTAATTTAGATCACAGTTAATTGCAGTTTATTTCAAGGAATTTTTTTCTTTAACCTGTCTCTCTTACCTTCTGAAACACTCAGACTGGAGGGCAAGGCATCATCACGGCTCACTTCAGCTTCGACATCACAGAATTAAGTGATTCCTGTAGTCTCAGCCACTTGGAAGGCTGAGATAGGAAGATCACCTGAGGGAGTCCTGGAAAGTCGAGGCGGCTGTAAGCCGAGATTGCATTCTTACACTCCAACCTGCCTCAAAAACTACAAATAAATAAAAGGTAAATGTAAAACAACAGCAACTTCAGTGTGTAGAAAGAGGAGCAAGAAAAATAAAAGAAAAACAAAACGAAGAGAAACTGAAAGTACTGTGGAAACAGTTGGAGAGGAAGAAACAACGCAAGGAAAAAGCGACACCTAGTGAATGCGGGCGGTACTGCTGCTGACCAAAGTTATCTGGTCTACCTTAGAAATCCCAAGTTGACGGTCAAGTCCAACGCTTGCCGCGGACATCAGGTGGGCACGGCGACCAGAGACCTGAGGACTGGGGCCTTAGGCCCTGGTCCCAGGTCTTCCAGACAGAGAAGCCCGCGGCCGTGTCAACTGGATGTTGCTTGCTTCCCGCAGTCGGCTGATTCGCGGGCTGATCGGGAAGCCAAAGGCCAGCATCTAATCGACAGGGTCCACCCTAAAGACCAAATGTGGTGCTCGCGGAGGGAAGCGATCAGACGCAGTTGGAACCTTATCACACAGAACCGGCCCAGGTTTGAGGCCGTCTAACTTGGCAGACCTGCCAGCCATTTCCCCGCAGTCCGCTGGTTGACCCGGACAGAGAAGAGGAGTAAAGACACAAGGGTAGTGACTAGCTAGTCTTTCATCCCAGCACCCCTGAGGCGGGGAGAGGGACTGTGACCCCAACAGCCACCCACGGGCATCGCGCGAACACTACTCAGGCAGGGACTGCAGGGGCAAAACCTCTGACACCCGCGCCTCAGCCATTCGCACGAGGCTCGAAGAATCCGGTCCCAACTCGTGGAGGAATTCCCAGCGGGATGGGAGAAAGAAGCTCAATCAGAGAGGTGGAACATCGAGCAGGGGCGCCAACCCTACCTCGCAACCCCCAGCGCTGCATCTTGGAAAGCCTGCTGTTGGGGAACGACCCCTCCCAAATGCACGGCCGACGCCAATGTTATCTCGCGAGAGACAGCCCTGCATGCCCTGGGGCTCCGGGGCGGGGGGCCTGAGCAGGCCCGGGAACTAAGTCCCCGGGGGCAAAAGGAGGAAAGAAGGAAGGTAGAGGTCCAGGGCTGAATTATACAGGACACGCCACAACGCTAGTTTTCCCGCACACTGGTTGAGAGCCCCTTGTGTGGAGGGCTGACTTTCAATAGGTTGCAGTGAGGGAGTTGCTCTGCTCCATAGGAAACCCTGACCCAGAAGCAGGGCGTTTACCAATAGTTTAGTATCAGATTCCCCATAAGCATGTTATGTGACGGGCCAGGGAGCAAACGCCTTTCTGGCCGCACCCCGTTTTTTAGGATGGGGGGCCGCACCCCATTTTTTAGGATGATAAGACCGGAGCAAGGTCTTGGCGCACAGCGGGGCGGAGCGTCCGGCCGGTGGCAAAGGCTGGGGACTGGCTATCTGAGGCCAACCGAGTCTTGCCAGCGCTGCTGCATCCTTTCTTCTGGGCGGGATTCTGATTTAGAGGCGTTCAGTCATAATCCCACAGATGGTAGCTTCACCCCATTGGTTCCTCAGTCAAGCACATACACCAAATGTGTGAAACTTTGATTCCTCTCATACTCAGCAGGATTACCATGGTAGCAACACATGGGCAACAACACATGGAGAACACACGCAGTAAAACTAACCTGTCTCACATGGGTCTAACCATGATGTTTTCCAGGGCATGCACTCCGCTTTTAGATGAATCCATTCCACTTTGCCTTGCCCTTCACAAAGAAAAGAGAACTCGCTGGCCACAGTGGCTCACGCCTGTAATCCCGGCACATTGAAAGGCTGAGGCTGACGGATCACCTGATGGCAGGAGTTCGAGTCCAGCGTGGCCAACATGGTTAAACCCTGTCTCTATGAAAATACAAAAATTAGCTGGGCATAATAACGGGTGCCTGTTAACCCAGCTCCTCGGTAGGCTGAGGCAGTAGAATCGCCTGAAACCAGGAAGCGGATGTTGCAGTGAGCCGAGATTGCTCCATTGGGCTCCATCCTGAGCCTCTAAGCGAGACTCCATCTCAAAAAAGAAAAAAAAAAAAAAAAAAAACGAGAACTCTCTCTAGGGCTCCCACCTGCTTTTGCAGAATCAGAGAATGTGATTGCCGGCAAAGGTTGAGGGGAGGGCGCAGGGGAAAGAAGGGGGAGGAGCAAAGGCTGGAGACACAATAGCTCACTCTGGAACCTTTCCAAGTTTAGTGGGGACAATTTTGAAACTAGCTGACTCTGGAAATTACACATAATTCATAGTATTATTGCTTCTTTGAAAGGTGAGCGGTTCATGATTTTTTTTCTCAGCATTTATTCATTTACTTGTAATAAGTGCATTTAGTTTCATACAGTTTACATACAACCGGTTTGACTGTATCTGCAGAGATTTAGGATAGTTTTTCTTAATGGTAAGCCCTAGGGTGGAGCTACAATGCACTTTCCGTTGTGAACCCTGAAAACTTGAGAGAGGTCTCAGTTAATTTAGAAAGTTTACGTAACCAAGGTTCAGGACGCATACCCGTGACAGCCTCAGGAGGTTCTGAGGACATGTGCCTAAGGTAAACAGAGAACATTATCGTTTTATACATTCTAGGGAGACATGAGACATCAATCAAAGTATGCAAGATGAACATTGGTTCGGTCTGCAAAGGCGGGACAAATTAGCAAACGCGGGAAGACTGAAAGTGAGGAGGGGACTTCCTGGTCAAAGGTAGTTAAGAGACAAATGGTTGCATTCTTTGGAGTTTCTAATTAGCCTCTCCAAAGGAGGCAATCAAATATACATTTATCGCTTGAAACCAGGAGGCGAATGTTGCAGTGAGCCGAGATTGCTCCACTGGGCTCCAGCTTGAGCATCTGAGCGAGACTCCATCTCAAAAAAGAAAAAAAAAAAGAGAAAAGAGCAGAGGAGTGACTTTGAATAGAATGGCAGGTTGGCCCTAAACAGTTGCCAGCTTGACTTTTCCCTTTACTTTAGTGATTTGGAAGCCTCAAGATTTATTTTTCTTTCACACACACAATTTTTAAAACCCAGGTAGAACTGTTCATGCTTACTAAAAAAAAAAAAAAAAAAAAAAAAGGAAGAAAGAAAAACAAATGATAGCCTAGGCGCCCTGGCTTATTTCTGTAAACTCAGCACTTTAAGAGGCTGAGGTGGGTGGATCATCTGAAGTCAGGACTTCGAGAACAGACTGGCCAACATGGCGAAATGACGTCCCTACTAAAAATACAAAAATTTGCTGGGAGTAGAGGCAGGCACATGTAATACCAGCTAGTGGGGAGGCTGAGGCAGGAGAATCGCTTGAATCCAGGAGGCAGAGGTTGCAGTGAGCCGAGATGGCGCCATTGAACTTCAACCTGGGCTACAAGAGCGAAACTGTCTCTGTCTCTAAATAAATAAAGAAATAAGCATTCCCAGCCAGGGTGGAGGTTTCCTAGGCAACAAGGCATAGGGGGAGGGACAGAAGGAGTGCCTCTGAGGTCAGGGTGGGGCCCGAGAGAAACCAGTTTTCCCTGGCTGTGCGCGGGCGGCCAGAAGTTTTGGTGTGATGCCTCCATTTTCAATAACAGTGACCGCTAGGTGACGCCAAATGACAACCGAACGACGTTCCAGCCTGGAATGAGTGGGGTCACTGGTTTAGGGGTTGTCAAGGAAGGAGAAAGAGATGGAGGCCCATGGGGTCGCCGGTCTTCTGATCTCTCCTGGATTACGTTTCCGGGCCCGAGACACCCTCCCAGACAATCCCCGCAGCTCTTCAACCAGTGTCCCTGGGGAAAAGATGATCAGTTCTCAGAAAACATTCAGACAGGCAAGAACATGCGCTCACGTAAGCACATGACAAGTATACAACTTTATATGTGATAGTGAGCTTTCTTTTGCAAAATGTCTTCGTGATGCATTTCACTACATAGTATTGTTGAAAACATCAAATTATAGGAGTGAGCACAGTGGCTCAAGCCTGTAATCCCAGGACTTCTGAAGACCAAGGTGGGAGGCTGGATAGAGGACAGGAGTTTGAGACTAACCTGGGCAACACATCGAGAGAGATTACCACTACTTAAAAATATTGCCCAGCATTGTGGCACATGCCTATATTTCCAGCTACTCAGGAAGCTGAGGCAGGAGGATTGCTTAAGCCCAGGATTCAACGTTGCAGTGAGTGAGCTGTGAACAGGCGACCAGAGTTTTTTTGTTCTCTACAGCTTACATTTTCAATAACGGTTGCCGCTAGTTGTCGCCCAAAGACAACTAAAACACGTGTCATCCTGGAATACGTGGGATCCCTGATGGAGGGGTGGGTGAGGAAGTAGGAGGGGACGGAGGCACACGGAGTCGCCCATTTTCTCATGATTCCCGTTGGACTACTTTTCTGGGTGCAGAGCATCCTCCCAGAAAGTCCCCAAAACCATTCAACCAGAGCTCCTGAAAAAAACAGTCGCACTCTCTGCCCATCGGATCATCCGGAATTTCCATTTATCCATTGAGAAGAATGCTCCATTGGAGTTTGGCGCAGGTTACGGTTACAGGCAGGGGCTGCCTCAGACAGAAGTCTAGTCTACAGAGTTTCACAGTAGACCCTAGGTTCAATCTCTCCCAAACTCAGAGTAGCAATATCTGTCACAGTAGAATGAAGTGCATGAAATGCGTGCTCCGAAGAAAGCGTGTTTCACACAGATGATTTGCACACTTATTCTTGTCCCTAGGCCAGTTGTTTCTTCCAAAATACCCATTACTCAATCGTTCACCCTCTCGTGAACCACTTAGGAATCTTGTTCTATGAATCCTGGAGCTTCAATATTTGACATCTTCAGAAGAACATGAATGCTATCCTAGCCTGGTAGCAATAAGGTACCATTTCTCAGAAAACACGCACCTATGCACACAAGCAAGCATGTATACACACATGCCCGCATCATATCTATACAATTTTACACTGTGATAGTGAGCTTTCTTTCCCTAGATAACTTCGTAATTGCTTTCGCTACATAGTATTGTTTAAAATATCAAATTATAGGTGCTGGGTGTGGAGGTTTGACTCTAGTCAAAGCACTTTGCAGGCAAAGCTGGGAGAATCGCTTGAGGTGGGGAGTGTGAGAACAGCCTGGAAAACATAGCAAAATCTAATCTCTACTAAAAATAAAACAAAATTAGTTAGGCGTTGTGGGGTGCACCTATAGTCTCAGCTACTTAAGAGGTTGAGGCAAGGATTGCTTAAGAACAGGAGTTTGAGATCCTATGATACTCACTCCTGCAACACTGCTGTGGCCCATGAATTGGCTACATGACCAATGACACGGAAGGAACATGATTACAAAATTCCTGGCAAAAAAAAAAAATAGAAAAACTTTTGTGGATAAACTTCTCTCACTGGGTAAATTACATAAAGATATGTCTGTTCTATATGAATCCCTACTAAGGGGTAACCGTATCAGAGCATGATTTTGATAATGATGTGGACAGAATGTCTTGTTCCGTGAGTATGGGTCATTCTTACTTCCCTGTCACCCCCATCATCACCCAATGGGCTTATAAACAAGGTGAACATAGTAGCAGAAATAGAAGCAATGCACGGGCTAAGCAATATGAACTTTGAATCCCAAAGGCCAGTCTGGCTACAGTCAATTCTGAATGTTTAATTTGACAGCAGCACAGATCTACACTGAGTCTTTGATATGACATCATTTCCAGGGTGATCCACCAGGCACCTGGTAGTAAATTTATTACGTTGAATAACTTTTATAATATAGGCGGCAACAGTTTGTACTCACTGGAGTAGGCTCTTACTATGGATACAAATTTGCTTTCCCTGGGTGGAATTCTGCCAAAACTACCCTCCATGGACTCACAGAATCCCTCATCCATCCCTATGATATTCCACTTAGCATTGCTCAGACCAAGAAACTCACTTCACAGCCAAAGTGTAGCAGTGTGCTCATCTTCACGGATGTCAGTGGACTTACCATGCTTTCCATTATCTGGAAGCAACTGGATTAATAGAATGATAGGTTTGTCAGCATTTCCAGCCACCCTAACACCTATATCTCCCTGTGCACCCTAAGGGACTCCACAGAATGGTGAATTAGATACATATATCCAAAGGAACTACATACATTTGTGTTCCCCCATCCAAACCTCCAATCGTATGTAGTTTAATATTTAAAGTTGCTGAAGTTAGCTGTAGACAAAGGACAAAAATTAGAAGTGCAGAGGGAATGGGTTCCTTCATGTGGGTAAAGGAGAGACTTACAAAACCTGCTTAATGTGGCTTTTTGCAGTCTTTTTGCTGCTCACAGCTGAACCACATGAACTTCTACTGTTTTGGACTCATCCAAACCTCAACATTAGCTTTAAGAGCTCCTTGATTTTCCAGCAGGAGAAAAGTGAACATGCAAAGCTCTCAGGTTCATTGTTATAATCCTCTCAAGGATCAGTCTCATTAGCAGACAGCAGAGTCTTGATCTCTTGCTTCACCAAACTAACCACTTGGCCGAGAGAATTTGCTGTTGGTCCTGGGGGAACTTCTCATATCCCTTGCAAGCTCTTCAAGTATTTGTTCCTTTTCCCCTTTCAGAAAGTTGTGTTTATCTCAGCATGCCATAGTCATCTCCAAAATTAAATAATTGTGACGTATCTAAGATTTTATAGCATTTGTAAACAACATATTAACCTTCCATTTTCATCGATGCTGGTAGAAGGCATGAGACACTGAAGTATGAAAAAAAATACCTACTATTTACTGCTTACCTGGAGGCAAAAGCCTCATATTTGTATTAGTTCTCCTTGTCCATACTACGTTTTTTGAAGGATTTCAAAAGGCTCATATGGACATTGTACATGGGGAAGATTTGTGTCATAGCTGAGCAGACTCAAGACTAAGAAACCTCAATCTTTTTAAAGTAGGTTACATGGAAGCCTGTCCAACCTTTGCGTCACAAAGAAAAATTGTCTTTATTATATTGATTGAGTAATTTATCTGCCATTCACCTGAAGAGAAAAACTACTACCCTTTTTCCAGGTTATTTGTGTACAAAAATCTTTGAAAAATAACGTGGAACAGGACAGGTATGTGATGTAATCCACAACAAAACAACAAACTCTAAGAGACTTGTGGAGAACTACATCTCAGTAGCATGCATCTTTCCCATTAAATGTTGCACTAAGCAATCCTGTGATAAAAGACAATCCATTGAAGACTTTCGACATGAAGACTAACCTCGGTTGTTTTGTGTCGTGGGATTGTTCAAGTGATTCTCCAGTGTCAGCCTCCAAAGTAGCTGGGAATACAGTCTCCCAAGACCACGCTCAGCTTATTTTTGTATTTTTAGTAGAGGCGGGGTTTTACCATATTGGCCAGACAGGTCTCGAACTCCTGATCTCAGGTGGTCCGCCTGCCTTGGCCTCACAAAGTGCTAGGAATATAGGCATGAGCCTCCGTGCCCGGCCCCAGAAATGAAAGTTCTAGTGCGCAGTAATGTAATTCTGACAGATAAATGACAGGTGAGAGTAAGTGAAAAATCTAACACAATTTAACATTTTTACATATTTAGACATATTGAAATTGGTTAGCTTATTGGAAAAAGTTAAATGACTAGTAATATATACAGCATATTTATTCTGAATGAATTGCTAATCTAGATTTGAGACATGAAATAATTATTTTTACAACACAGAAACATAAACTGCATTTCCATATACAATTAACAATTTGACAGTAAATTAAGAAAACAATTGTTCGCAACAACATTAAAATAATATAATTCTTAGCAATAAATTTAATAAGGAGGTAAATATCTTGTACAATAAAAAATACAGGATCAGAATGTTTATGAAAAAAACTAAAAAGGACTTAAATAACTGGCAACAAATTCCATGTTCCTGAACCGGAAGATTTAATGAAGTTAAGATGACAATACCACTGCCCAAAGGAGTGTACAGATGTACTGTAATCCCAAGTTTTCATTTTTCCAACTTTTCTTCTGCAAAAAGAAAATAGCTCATTTAAAACTTCATATGGAATTTGAACATCCTCTGAATGTACAGAATAATCTTGAAAAGAAGGACAAAATTAGGTGGCTCACAATTTTAAATTTGAAAACATAAAAAGCTACTAAAATTATAACAGTTTGATAGTGGCATAAGAACAATTGTGGAGATCAAATAAATAAAATAGATACTCCAAAAAACCCTTTCATAAATTATTGTTTGTCTTTTTAAAAGTGTGTCTTAATCATTATGTAAAGACAGTTTGTTACACAAGAAATGCTGGGAAAACAAGTCCACATTTAAACCAGTAAAGTTGAATCTTTATCACATTCCAAGTAGAAAAATTAAATAAAAATTGATTAAAGATATAAAAACAAGTGTTAAACTTTAGTGGTTTCTAATAGTTGTTTTTATTTAACTGGGGACAGCACTAACATGAACAACTTTATACACACAAACTAGAAAACTTTAACGAAATAAATAGATTCCTAGATATACACACTCTCTCAAGATTAAGCCAGGAAGACAATGATTTCCTGAACAGACCAGTAAAAAACTCTGATATTAAATAGGTAATAAGTAGCTTGCCAATCAAAAAAAAAAGCTCTGGACTTTATGGACTTACAGCCAAATTCTACCAAATGTACAAAGAAGAGCTGGTACAATTCCTACAGAAACTATACCCAAAAATTGAGAAGGAGGGTCTTCTCCCCAACTCATTCTATGAGGACAGCATGATCTTGACACCAAAACAGGCAGAGACACAACAAAAACACAAAAAATTAGCCGGGCTTGGTAGCAGACACCTGTAGTCCCAGCTACTTGGGAGGCTGAAGCAGGAGAATGGCGTGAACTCAGGAGGCAGAGATTGCATTAAGCAGAGATCGCGCCAGTGCAATCCACTCCAGCCTGGGCAACAGAGGGAGACACCGTCAAAAAAAAAAAAAAAAAGAAAGAAGGGAAAGAAAACTTCAGGCCAACATTCTTGACGAACATCAATACAAAAGTTCTCAACAAAATATTTGGGAGGCAAATCCAGCAGCACATCAAACAGGTAATCCGTCATGATCAAGTAGGCTTCCTCCTTAGGACGCAAGGTTGGTCCATCATGTGCAAATCAATAAATGTAATACATTACATAAACAGAACTAAAAACAAAAAAAAGATGATTATCTCAATAGACGCAGAAAATAATAAAAGCCGTCTATAAGAAACCCACAGCCAACAATGTGTTGAATGGGCAAAAGCCGGGAACATTATTTTTTAAAACCAGTAGAAGGCAAGAATGCCCTCTCTTGCCATTTCTATTCAACTTAGTATTGACAGTACTGACCAGAGCAATCAGGCTAGAGAAAGAAATCCGAAGAACATCCAAATAGGAAGAGAGAAAGCCAAACTATTTCTGTTTGCAGATAACATAATTCTCTATCTAGAAAACCCTGTAGTTTCATCTACAAAGCTTCTTTAGTTAACAAACAGCTTCAGCAAAGTTTCAAGATACTAAATCAATGTGCAAAGATCACTAACATTTTTCTACACCAACGATAGCCACACTGACAGCAAAATCAGAAAGGCCATCCCATTCACAATTGCCACTAAAATAATAAAATATCTGGAAATGCAGCTCACCAGGGAGGTGAAAGAGCTCTACAATGAGATTTACAAAACACTGCTCAAAGAAATCAGAGAAGATACAAACAAATGGAAAACCATCCCATGCTCACGGATAGGAAGATGCAATATCACTAAAATGGCTATACTTCACAAAGAAATTTACAGATTTAATACTATTTCCATCAAACTGCCAATGAAATTTTTTACGGAGCTAGAAAAAACTATTTGAAAACTCATATAGGCCGGGGGCTGTGGCTCACACCTGTAATCCCAGCACTCTGGGAGGCCAAGGGGTGTGGATCATGAGGTCAGGAGATCCAGACCGTCCTGGTCAACATGGCAAAACTCCTTCTCTACTAAAAATACAAAAAATAGCTGGGAGTAATGGCAGCGCTTGTAATCCCAGCTACTTGGGAGGCTGAGGCAGGAGAATCCCTTGAACATGTATATAATATATACGTATGTTATACATATATTTATTATACTTTAAGTTCTAGGGTACATGTGCACAACGTGCAGGTTTGTTACTTATGTATACATGTGCCATGTTGGTGAGCTGCACCCATTAACTCGTCATTTACATTAGGTATATCTCCAAATGCTATCCCTCCCCCCTCCCCCCCCAACAACATTCCCCAGTGGGTAATGTTACCCTTCCTGTGTCCAAGTGTTCTCATTGTTCAATTCCCACCTATAAGCGAGAACATGTGGTGTTTGTTTTTTTTTGTCCTTGTGATAGTTTGCTGAGAATTATCTTTTCCAGCTTCATCCATGTACACACAAAGGACATGAACTCATCATTTTTTATGGCTGCATAGCATTCCATGGTGTATATGGGCCACATTTGCTTGATCCAGTCTATCATTGTTGGACATTTCGGTTGGTTCCAAGTATTTGCATTGTGAGTAGTGCCACAATAAACATACGTGTGCATGTGCCTTTATAGCAGCACCTAACATGACTTTTCTTATTTTCTTAGATTGTGAGTTTCTTTCAGACTAGGACTCTGCTGAGTCAGCTCTCTGTCCTCCCTGTACTCCTTATCACAGTGCTTGGCTATGACAGATGTTTAATAAATATTTGAGAAACACAGTAAATCCATATGAGTGACACAATGTTACGGAAAACTCTGGTCATTCAACAAATTCTATTCTCCCATTTATTAGGGACACAGCAGAATTACATTTCTTAGCCTCATTTGCATGAGATGTGGAAACGTGACCAGTTATTGTTAATGGTTGTAGAGTGAGATGGATGTGAGTCACATTAAGATGAGTCCATCAAGTCTTCTCGCATGCATTTCTTAAAGTACTTTATTTTCAGGGGACTGAACACAAACGGCAACCACGACTCATGGATGATGAAGACAAATAATGAAAGAACTTTGAGTTTCTGAATGACCACATGGAGAGGAGGTGCCTTTTCAATTTGGCCACCGAACAACTCTGTGATGTGTGCTAAAAAGTGCTGTTAATCTACTGCAAATTAGGGATGTGCTGGTATTTGACAGTTCAGCATAATCTAAAACATGCACTTAAAAACCTATTCACTGAATTAATTTAAAAGGCATTTTTATAGTACACTTAAGATGACAAACGTTAAGGTGGTCTTGCAATTTTTACCCTTCCATTTTGACCGTACTATGTTATATTAGAGAACTTGAGCCACATAAATGATCAGTTTTTATTGCGTCTATTTGATTCTTCTCTCTTTTCTTCTTTACTAGTCTTGCTAGCAGTCTATCAATTTTGTTGATCGTTTCAAAAACCAGCTCCTGAATTCACTGATTTTTTGAAGGGTTTTTTATGTTTCTATTTCTTTCAATTCTGCTCTGATCTTAGTTATTTCTTGCCTTCTGCTAGCTTTTGAATGTGTTTGCTCTTGCTTCTCTAGTTCTTTTAATTGTGATGATAGGGTGTCAATTTTAGATCTTCTCTGCTTTCTCTTGTGGGCCTTTAGTGCTATAAATTTCCCTCTACACGCTGCTTTGAATGTGTCCCATAGATTCTGGTATGTTGTGTCTTTGTTCTCGTTGCTTTCAAAGAACATCTTTATTTCTGCCTTCGTTTCGTTATGTACCCAGTAGTCATTCGGGAGCAGGTTGTTTGGTTTCCATGTAGTTGAGCGGTTTTGAGTGAGTTTCTTAATCCTGAGTTCTAGTTTTATTGCAGTGTGGTCTGAGAGAGAGGTTTTTATAATTTCTGTTCTTTTACAATTTGCTGAGGAGTGCTTTACTTCCAACTATGTGGTCAATTTTGGAATAAGTGCGGTGCGGTGCTGAGAAGAATGTATATTCTGTTGATTTGGGGTGGACAGTTCTGTAGATGTCTATTAGGTCTGCTTGGTGCAGAGCTGAGTTCAATTCCTGGATATCCTTGTTAACTATCTGTCTCATTGATATGTCTAATGTTGACAGTGGGGTGTTAAAATCTCCCATTACTATTGTGTGGGAGTCTAAGTCTCTTTCTAGGTCTCTAAGGACTTGCTTTATGAATCTGTGTGCTCCTATATTGGGTGCATATATATTCAGGATAATTAGCTCTTCTTATTGCATTGATCCCTTTATCATTACGTAATGGACTTCTTTGTCTCTTTTGATCTTTATTGTTTTAAAGTCTGTTTTATCAGACACTAGGATTGTAACCCCTGCCTTTTTCTGTTTTCCATTTGCTTGGTAGATCTTCCTCCATCCCTTTATTTTGAGCCTATGTGTGTCTCTGCACGTGAGATGCGTTTCCTGAATACAGAACACTGATGGGTCTTGACTCTTTATCCAATTTGCCAGTCTGTGTCTTTTAATGGGAGAATTTAGTCCATTTACTTTTAAGGTTAATATTGTTTTGTGTGCATTTGATCCTGTCATTATGATGTTAGCTGGTTATTTTGCTCGTTAGTTGATGCAGTTTCTTCCTAGCCTCGATGGTCTTTACAACTTGGCATGTTTTTGCAGTGGCTGGTACCGGTTGTTCCTTTCCATGTTTAGTGCTTCCTTCAGGAGCTCTTTTAGGGCAGGCCTGGTGGTGACAAAATCTCTCATCGTTTGCTTGTATGTAAAGGATTTTATTTCTCCTTCACTTATGAAGCTTAGTTTGAATGAATATGAAATTCTGGATTGAAAATTCTTTTCTTTAAGAATGTTGAATATTGTTCCCCACTCTTCTGGCTTGTAGAGTTTCTGCCGAGAGATCAGCTGTTAGTCTGATGGGCTTCCCTTTGTGGGTAACCCGACCTTTCTCTCTGGCTGCCCTTAACATTTTTTCCTTCATTTCAACTTTGGTGAATCTGACAATTATGTGTCTTGGAGTTGCTCTTCTTGAGGATTATCTTTTTGGTGTTCTCTGTATTTCCTGAATTTGAATGTCACCCTCCCTTGCTAGATTGGGGAAGTTCTCATGGATAATATCCTTCAGAGTGTTTTCCAACTTGTTTCCATTCTCCTCATAACTTTCAGGTACACCAATCAGATGTAGATTTGGTCTTTTCACACAGTCCCATATTTCTTGGAGGTTTTGTTCATTTCTTTTTATCTTTTTCTCTCTAAACTTCTTTTCTCACTTCATTTCATTCATTTGATCTTCCATCACTGACACCCTTTCTTCCAGTTCATCGAATTGGCTACTGAGGCTTGTGCATTCATCACGTACTTCTCGTACATTGGTTTTCAGCTCCATCAGGTCCTTTACGAACTTCTCTGCATTGGTTATTCTAGTTAGCTATTCATCTAATTTTTTTAAAGGTTTTTCACTTCTTTGCCATGGGTTTGAACTTCCTCCTTTAGCTCGGAGTAGTTTGATCGTCTGAAGCCTTCTTCTCTCAATTCGTCAAAGTCATTCTCTGTCCAGCTTTGTTCCATTGCTGGTGAGGAGCTGTGTTCCTTTGGAGGTGGAGAGATACTCTGATTTTTAGAATTTTCCGTTTTTCTGCTCTGTTTTTTCCCCATCTTTGTAGTTTTCTCTCCTTTGGTCTTTGATGATTGTGATGTACAGATGGGATTTTGTTGTGGATGTACTTTCTGTTTGTTAGTTTTCCTTCTAACAGTCAGAACCCTCAGCTGCAGGTCTGTTGGAGTTTGCTGGAGGTCCACTCCAGACCCTGTTTGCCTGGGTATCAGCAGTGGAGGCTGCAGAACAGCGGATATTGGTGAAAAGCAAATATTGCTGCCTGATTGTTCCTCTGGAAATTTTGTCTCAGAGGAGTACCCGGCCGTGTGAGGTGTCAGTCTGCCCCTACTGGGGATGCTTCCCAGATAGGCTACTCGGGGGTCAGGGACCCACTTGAGGAGGCAGTCTGTCTGTTCTCAGATCTCCAGTTGCATGCTGGGATAACCACTACTCTCTTCAAAGCTGTCAGACAGGGACATTTAAGTCTGCAGAGGATTCTGCTGCCATTTGTTTGGCTATTCCCTGCCCCCAGAGGTGGAGTCTACAGAGTCAGGCAGGCCTCCTTGAGATGCAGTTGGCTCCACCCAGTTGGAGCTTCCTGGCTGCTTTGTTTACCTACTCAAGCCACGGCAATGGTGGGCGCCCCTCCCCCAGGCTTGTTGTTGCCTTGCAGTTTGATCTCAGACTGCTGTGCTAGCAATGATTGTGGCTCTGTGGGCGTAGGACCCTCTGAGCCAGGTGCAGGATATAATCTCCTGGTATGCCGTTTGCTAAGACCTTTGGAACAGTACAGTGTTAGGGTGGGAGTCACCCGATTTTCCAGGTGCAATCTGTCACCCCTTTCTTTGACTAGGAAAGGGTATTCCCTGACCCCTTGCACTTCCTGGGTGAGGCGATGCCTCACCATGCTTTGGCTCACATGGGGTGCGCTGCACCCACTGTCCTGCACCCACTTTCTGACACTCCCCAGTGAGATGAGCCCGGTACCTCAGTTGGAAATGCAGAAATCACCTGTGTTCTGCATTGCCGATGCTGGGAGTTCTAGACTAAGGCTTTTCCTATTCGCCCATCTTGGCTCCACCCCCTCTCTAATTAAATTTTAATGTGAATAGTCTGAAATTATTTTTTCTATATCCTTCAGTTTTTTCATAATTCTTCTCTAACTTTTAGGTTCTATGTTTATGCCCCTTACATTTTCCAGAAATGTTTCTGAAGATTATTGCCCATTTTAAAGTTAAACTAATTTTTTATTTAGTTTTTTGTTTATTCTGTATTCTGCTTATCAATCGCTTGTCAGCTGTGTAGTTTGCACATATTTCCTCTCATTTTCTTTCTTTTTTTTTGAGACAGTCTTGCTCTGTCACCCATGCTGGAGTGCAGTGGCACGATCTCAGCTCACTGTAACCTCCACCTCCTGGGTTCAAGAGATTCCCTGGCCTCAGCCTCCTGAGCAATTGGGCTTTCAGGAACCACGCCCGGCTAATTTTTGTATTTTTAGTAGACACAGTGTTTCACCATGTCAGCCAGGCTGGTCTAGAACTCCTGACCTCAGGTGATCCACCAGCCTCAGCCTCCCAAAATACTGAGTTTATAGGTGTGAGCCATCGTCCCTGGCCAATAGAATATTATTTATACAATGGAGTATTAGCTAGCCATAAAAATAAATACAGAACTGATATGTGCCACAACATGGATAAATAATGAAAACACGCTCAAAGAGAAAAGCCAAAGAAAAAAGGTCACATATTATATTATTATATTTCTATAAAGTGACTAGAATAGAAAACTAGAAATAGAAGCCGGGTGTGATGGCTCACGCCTGTAATCCCAGCACTTTGGGTGGCCGAAGCAGGCAGATCACGACGTCAGGAGATCGAGACCATGCTGGCTAACATGGTGAAACCCTGTCTCTACTAAAAATACAAAGAAAAATAGCTGGGCGTGCTGACAGGCATCTGTAGTCCCAGCTACCCTGGAGGCTGAGGCAGGAGAATGGCGTGAACCAGGGAGGTGGAGCTTGCAGCGAGCCGAGATCGTGCCACTGCACTCTAGCATGGGTGACAGAGTGAGACACCAAAAAAAAAAAAAAAAAAGGAAAGAAAGAAAGAGAGTACTAGAGATAGAAAGTCAATCAGTGGTTACCAAGGAAATTCGGTGGATGAATGATAAATTACTGCTTAATGGATATGGAGTTTTTTTGGTGAGAGGGTGATGAAACTATTTTGGAATTTGATAAGGGTGACAGTTGCATAGCATTGTAAATAAACTGAAAAGCACTGAATTTTACACTTTATATTAGATAGTATGTAGAACTCTATATTGTGTAAATTTTAGCTGACTAAAACATTTTAACAAGCAAAGAAAAATAAACTGTAGGCTTTGTGTGGTGGCTCACACCTATAATCTCAGTTTTTTTCAGAGGCTGATACAAGCAGATCACGAGGTGAAGAGATCGAGACCATCCTGGACAACATGGCGAAACCCCGTCTCTACTAATAATACAAAAATTAGCCAGGCTTGGTGGCACGCCCTTATATTCCCAGCTACTCAGGAGGCTGAGGCAGGAGAATCACTTGAACCTGGGAGGTGGAGGTTGCAGTGAATCACTTGAACCCGGGAGGTGGAGGTTGCAGTGAGCCGAGATCATGCCACTCCACTCCAGTCCCGTGAAAGAGCGAGAAGAGAGAGACTCTGATAAAGAAAGAAAGAAAGAAAGAAAGAAAGAAAGAAAGAAGAAAGAAAGAAAGAAGAAAGAAAAAAGAAAATAAGGAAAGAAAGAAAAGAAAGGGAGGGAGGAAGGAAGGAGAAAGAAAGAGAAAGAAAGAAAGAAAGAAAGAAAAGGAAGGAAGGAATGAAGGAAGAGGAAAGAAAGAAAGAAGAAAGAAAGAAACGGAAGGAAGGAATGAAGGAAGAACAAAAGAAAGAGAAAGAAGAAAGAAAGGAAGAAAGAAAAGAAACGAAGGAGAAAGAAAGAAAGAGAAAGAAAAAGAAGGAAAGAAAGAAAGAAGAAAGAAAGAAAAAGAAAGAAGAAAGAAAGAAAGAAGAAAGAAAGAAAGAAAGAAAGAAAGAAAGAAAGACAGAAAAAAGAAATACTATGAAACAGGAGGGCAAATGAGGGAGCCCTGGAAAACGATTCTGTCTCCACTTTCAAAAAAGATCGCCCCCTCCAAAAAAAAGATCCCCAAAGCTCTGACCGAGAAGGTCTTCTCCTTGGATCCCAGAGCAGTGGTCTGAGGATCTGTCACATTCTACACCAGCCTGAGTGCTCAGTCCCGCACACCCCTAGGCCACTTTCTGCTCTGAAAGACCTTCGGAGGACACAGAGCAATTTCCAAAGTTCTGAGAGTACAGTGGTAATTGATAGACAGCAAGGTCAACTCACTTCTTTAAGCCTTTCAAATTTAGGGGTCACACAGTTCAATTATGTCAATTTGTACAGGGAAAAATTGAAGGTTTTCACTACTGTATTCCTCTCCATATTGGGTGTAGGGGGATTCCTTACCATTTTAATTATGCAGATTAATGAATGGAGAAAGTAAGGTTTTGTCCTTGGAAAGCTATCCTGGTGTTGGCTGCAGCCCAGTCAGATCCATGGAAGCCTTGAGCCTCTCAAGCCATCAGCCTATTGCCTTCCCCTGCCCATGTTATGGGTCCTGGGCATGTTACCAGAAGATGGGGTGCTTCTACCCCATGACAAAGCTGCCCCTATCCTCTATCTTTTTTCTTCTCATCACTCCATCAGCGTTAACTCCTCTTATGACCTTTAGCCTGAGAAGTCTGTGTGTGTATGCACAAACCTGTGGAATTCTATGATGCAGACATGAGTTTGCTTCATATGACGAGAAAATTGGCAAAAATCCCCAGGATCTCAGGGACTCATTCCCAAAACAAACCCCATGAGAGTGTTGAGCCCTGGCCTAGGAGGTCAGAATGCTCTTTTTTCCCTTGGACTCTGCCCACTTCATCATCTCTGGGCCAGTCCCTGCTTCTCTCCAGACCTCAGTTTTTCAGATATCCAATGAGATGTGAGATGTCAAAATGCTTAAGCCACAGCTCAACATGCATATGGTCTAACGTCCCTACCAACTAGGATTGGTGTAGCAAGGCTGTGATCAGGGTGTTCCCAGATCTTCCTCACTTGGGAAGAAATAGATGGGTTCTGCACTGGGCACATGGACCTTCTGTTCAAGAAGGGTCATACACACTTGATCTTTCAAGGCCCACAGACAATGTGTGCAAGTGAGCCCCACCTCCACCCCCAAACAGCTTCCATGGAGCATAACAATATGTCCCCTGTCCTCTGAGTCTGGAAAGTAGTGACATCCTCACTTAACACATGGATTGATGGACCCTTTGTATAATTAAATCTTCCCCACTACTGCCTCCACCACTATGCAGATAGAAAAAAGTCTTAGGAAAGTGACATAACATCCAGAATTACACAGAGATTCCATGGCAAAGCTAGCACTTTAGTTAGGATTACATTTTCCTACATATAGAAGAAAACCCAGACCGGGTGCTGTAGTTCACGCCTGTTATCCCAACACATTGGGAGGTTGAGGCAGACGGATCACCAGAGGTCTGGAGTTTAAGACCAGCCTGACCAACATAGAGAAACCCAGTCTCTACCAAAAATACAAAATTTTCCAGGCGTAGTGGTGCATGCCTGTAATCCCTGCTTCTTGAGAGGCTGAGGCAGGAGAATCGCTTGAACCCGGGAGGTAGAGATTGTGGTGAACCGAGATCGCGCCATTGCACTCCAGTCTGGGCAATAAGAGTGAAACTCCGTCTCAAAAAAATTAAAAAAGAAAACCCAATATAATAGTGCAGATAAGAGAGAGAATGCTTTCTTTCTCATAAATAAGGATGTTAGAGCTGGGCAGTCTGACTCTGAACTGTACACGAAGGTAGTCAAAAATAGTCTGTCATTTTGCTAAAATGTTTTTCTTTTTTGAACTTTGTTTTAAGTTCAGGGGTATATGGGCAGGATGTGCAGGTTCTTTAAATATGGAAACATACCGTCCCGAAGTTTGGTTGTGCAGATTGTTTTATCACCCAGGTATTAAGTCTACTAACTATTAGTTATTTTTTCTGATTCTCTCCCTCCTCTCACCCCCTACCTCCTGATAGGCCCTGGTGCGTGTTGCTCCCCTCCATGTTTCTGTGTGTTCTCATCATCTACCCTCCACTTATAAGTGAGAAAATGTGGTATTTGGTTTTCTGTTTCTGTTAGTTTTTTAAGGATAATGGCCTCCAGCTCCATCCATGTCCCTACAAAGGACATAATCTTGTGCTTTTTTATGGCTGCATAGTACTCCATGTTGTATATGAACTACGTTTTCTTCAACCAGTCTATTATTGATGAACATGTAGGCTGATTTGATGTCTTTGCTATTGTGAATAGGGCTGTGATGAACTTGTGCGTGCAGGTATCTTTATAATAGAATGACTTATATTTGTTTGGGTATATACCCAGTAATGAGATTGCTAGGTCAAATGGTATTCTTTTCTTTAGGTCTTTGAAGAATCACCACACTGTCTTCCACAACGTTTGAACTCGACCAACAGGGTAAAAATGTTGCTTTTTCTCCACAACTTTGTCAGCATCTGTGATTTTTTGATTTTTTCATGGTAACCATTATACCTGGTATAAAATGATATCTCATTGTGGTTTGGATTTACATTTCTCTAATGGTCACTGATGTTGAACTTCTGTTTCATACGCTTATTGGCTGCATGTATGTCTTCTTTCAAGAAGTGTTTCTGTGTGTCCTTTGGCCAATTTTTAATAAGGTTGTTTGTTTTTCTCGTGTAAATTTATGTTCCTTATGGATGCTAGAAATTAGATTATTGTCAGATGCACAGTTTGCAAAAATTTTCTCCCATTCTATACATTGTCTGTTTACTCTGTTGATAGTTTCTTTTGCTGTGCAAAAGCTCTTTAGTTTAATTAGATCCCATTTGTCAATGTTCTCTTTGTTCTAATTGCTTTTGCGCCTTCATCATAAAATATTTGCCCATGCCTATGTCCTGAATGGTATTGCCTAGGTTGTCTTCCAAAGTTTTTATAGTCTTGGGTTTTACATTTAAACCATGTTGAGTTTATTGTTGTATATGATGTAAGGAATCTTTCTTTATTTTTTAAATTTAAATTGGGTTCTGAAGTACAAGTGCAGAATGTGTAGGTTTGTTACATTGGTATATGTGTGCCATGGTGGTTTACTGCACCTATCAGCCCGTTATCCAGGCTTCAAGTCCCACATGTATTAGCTAGTTATCCTAATGCTCTCCCTCCCTTCGACTCCCATTCCCTGACTAGCCCCAGTTGTGTTGTTTCCCTTCCAGTGTCCATGTGTTCTTATTGTTCAACTCCCACTTATGAGTGAGAATATGCGGTGGTTAGTTTTCTGTTCCTGTGTTAGTTGCAGAGGATGATGGAGGAAGGGGTTCAGTTTCAATTTTTTGCACATGGCTAGGCAGTTATCCCAGCACCATTTATTGAGTACAGAGTCGTTTTTTCATTGCTTGTTTTTGTCAGGTTTGTCGAAGATCAGTTAGTTGTAGGTGTGCAGTCTTATTTCTGGGTCCTCTATTCTGTTTCATTGGTCTGTGTGTCTGTTCTTGTACCAGTACCATGCTGTTTTGGTTTCTGTAGCCCTGTAGCACAGTTTGAAGTTGGGTAGTGTGATGCCTCCAGCTTAGTTCTTTTTGTTTGGGGTTGTCTTGACTATTCAGGCCTTTGTTGGTTCCATATAAATTTTAAAATAGCTTTTCTAGTTTTGTGAAAAATGTCATTGGTAGTTTAACGGAAATACTATTAACTCTATAAATTTCTTTGTGGAGTGTGTCTACTTTAACAATATTAACTCTTTCTATCCATAAGCATGAAATGTTTTTCTATTTGTTTATGTCATGTCTGATTTCTTTGAGAAGTGGTTTATAGTTCTCCTTGTAGTGGCCTTTCACTTCTCTTGTTAGATACATTCCTTGGTATTTTATTCTTTTTGTGGTAACTGTGAATGAGTGTTCATTCACGATTTTGCTCTTGGCTTGACTGTTGTTGGTATATAAGGATTTAGTGCTAGTGATTTTGGCCCATTTATTTTGTATCTTGGGACTTTGTTAAAGATATTTATCAGCTTAAGAAGCTTTGGGGTTGAGACAATAGGGGTTTTCAAGATATAGAATCATGTCGTCTGACATCAGGTGTTGTTTAATTTCTTTTCTTTCAATTTGAATGCCTTTTTCTCTTACCTGATTGCTCTGCCCAGTACTTCCAATACTATCTGAAATAGGATTCATGAGAGAGGGCATCCTTGTCTTGTGCCCGTTTTAAAAGGGAATGCTTTCAGCTTTTGCCCTTTCAGTATGATATTGGCTGTGGGTTTGTCATACATGGTTCTTATTATATTGAAGTATGTTTTTTTCAATACCTAGTTTATTGAGAGTTTTTACAAGAATGGATGTTGAATTTTATGGATGCAAAGATTTATCTGCATCTATTCAGACAATCATGTGGCTTTTGTCTTTAGTTCTGTTTATGTGATAAATCACATATTGATTTGTGTACGTTGAATTAAAGTTGCATCCCACAGATGGAGCCTACTTGATTGTGGTGGATAAGCTTTCTGATGCGCTGCTGGATTTGGTTTGCCCCTATTTTGTTAAGAATGTTTGCATAAATGTTCATCAAAAATATTGGCATGAAGTTTTTTTTTTTCTTTTTTTATTTTATTATTATTATACTTTAAGTTTTAGGGTACATGTGCACAATGTGCAGGTTAGTTACATATGTACGCATGCACCATGCTTGTGTGCTGCACCCATTAACTCGACATTTAGCATTAGGTATATCTCCCAATGCTATCCTTCTCCCCTCCCCCCTCATCACAACAGTCCCCAGAGTGTGATGTTCCCCTTCCTGTGTCCATGTGATCTCATTGTTCAATTCCCACCTATGAGTGAGAACATGCGGTGTTTGGTTTTTTTGTTCTTGTGATAGTTTACTGAGAATGATGATTTCCAATTTAATCCGTGTCCCTACAAAGGACATGAACTCATCATTTTTTATGGCTGCATAGTATTCCATGGTGTATATGTGCCACATTTTCTTAATCCAGTCTATCATTGTTGGACATTTGGGTTGGTTCCAAGTCTTTGCTATTGTGAATAGTGCCGCAATAAACAAACGTGTGCCTGTGTCTTTAAAGCAGCATGATTTATAGTCCTTTGTGTATATACCCAGAAATGGGATGGCTGGGTCAAATGGTATTTCTAGTTCTAGATCCCTGACGAATTGCCACACTGACTTCCACAATGGTTGAACTAGTTTACAGTCCCACCAACAGTGTAAAAGTGTTCCTATTTCTCCACATCTCCTCCAGCACCTGTTGTTTCCTGACTTTTTAATGATTGCCATTCTAACTGGTGTGAGATGGTATCTCATTGTGGTTTTGATTTGCATTTCTCTGATGGCCAGTGATGGTGAGCATTTTTTCATGTGTTTTTTGGGTGCATAAATGTCTTCTTTTGAGAAGCGTCTGTTCATGTCCTTCGCCCACTTTTTGATGGGGTTGTTTTCTTCTTGCAAATTTTTTGAAGTTTTGTTTTTTTTCTTGTGTGTCTGCCAGGTTTTGGTACCAGGATGATGTGCTCTCATAGAAAGAGTCGGGAAGGAAGCCCTCTGTTTCAGTTTTTTGAAATAATTTTAGTGGGAATTGTACCAGTTCTTCTTCATAAATGTCATAACCTTCAGCTTTTAATCTTTGTGTTTCTGATCTTTTTGTGGTTTGTAGGCTATTTATTACTGCCTGAATTTCAGAGCCTGTTGTTTGTCTTTTCAGGGATTCAATTTCTTCCTGGTTTATTCTTGAAGGGTGTATGTGTCCAGAAATTTATCCATTTCTACTGAATTTGTTATCTTATAGGCATAGAGGTGTTTATGATATTTTCTGATGGTTATTTTTATTTCTGTGGGGTCAGTGGTAACCCTTATTATTTCTGATTGTGTTCATTTTAATTTTTGATATTTTCTTCCTTATTAGTCTACTACTGGTGTATTTATATTATTGGTTTTTTCAAAGAAAAAGAAACAGCTCCTGAATTTGTTGATCTGTTGAATGGTTTCTCTTGTCCCTATCTCCATCAGTTCAGGTCTGATTTTGGTTATTTCTTGTCTTCTGCTAGCTCTAGAACTTCTTTGCTCTTGTTCCTGTAGTTATTTTTGTTGTGAAGTTGTAACTTGAGACATTTCTGGCATTTTAATGTGGGCATTTAATGCCATAAATTTTCATCTTAATACTGCCTTAGCTGTGTCCCAGAGATTCTGGTATGTTTTGTCTTTGTTCTCATTGGTTTCAAAGAACTCCTTGATATCTGCCTTAATTTCATTATTTACCCAAAAGTTATTCAGGAGCAGGTGATTCAATTTCCATTTAATTTTATGGTTTTCAGTAAATTATTTCATCGTGAGTTTTAATTTGATTGTGCTGTGATCTGAGCCACTGTTTATTATGATTTCAGTTCTTTTGCATTTGCTGAAGAGTGTTTTACTTCTGGCTAAGTGACCAATTTCAGAGAAAGTGTCATGTAGTGATGAGAAGAATGTATATTCTGCTGTTTTCATGTGGAGAGTTCTGTAAATATATATCATGTCCATTTGATCCAGAGCTAAGTTCAGGTCCTGAACATCTTTGTTAATTTTCTGTCTCAATAATCTTTCTAATACTGTCAGTGGGATGTTAAAGTCGGTCACTATTATTGTGTGGTGTTCTAAGTCTCTTTCAAGATATCTAGAAACTTGTTATATGAATCTGGGTACTCTTGTGTTGGGTGCATATATATTTAGAATAGTTAATTCTTGTTGAATTGAATTATTTGCCGTTATGTAATGACCCTCTTTGTTGTTGTTGTTGTTGTTGTTTTTAATCTGTGTTGCTTTAAAGTCTGTTTTGTTGGAAAGTAAGACTGCAACCCTTGCTTTTTTAGGTTTTCCACTTGCTTGGTGAAATTTCCTCCATCCCTTTATTTTTAGCCTATGTGTGTCCCCGCATGTGAGATGGGTGTCTTGAAGAGCATACCAATGGGTCTTGGTTTTTATACAATTGCCACCCTGTGTGTTTCAACTGGGGCATTTATCCCATTTACATTTAAGGTAAGTATTGTTATGCGTAGATTTTATCTTGTTATCTTGATGCTAGCTGGTTATTTTTATTTTTCAGACTTGTTTATGTGGTTGATTTATAGTGTCAATGGTCTGTGTACTTGAGTGTGTTTTTGTGGTGGCTGGGAATAATTTTCCCTTTCCAAATTGGTGCTTCCTTCAGGAGCTCTTGAAAAGCATGTCTGGTGTTCATGAATTAACTCGGAATTTGCTTGTCTGAAAGGGATGTTATTTCTCCCCAGATTAAGCTTAGTTTGGCCAGATATAAAATTCTGGCTTAAAGTTTATTTTCTTTAAGAACGTTAAATATTGGCCCCCAATCTCTTTTGGCTTGTAGGGTTCTCACTGACAGCTCTGCTCTTAGTCTGATCAACTTCTTTTTGTAGGTGACTTGGCTTTTCTCTGCGGCTGAGCTTTTTTTTCTTTTTTTTTCTTCCATTTCAAGTTTGGGGAATCTGACGTTTATGTGTCTTGGGTATGATTTTTTCTTGGAGTATCTTACTGAACTTCTCTCCATTTTCTGAATTGTTGGCCAGTGTAGCAAGGTTGGGGAAGTTCTCATTGATGATATCCTGAAATATGTTTTCCTGATTGGTTCCATTCTCCCCAGCTCTTTCAAGTACACCAATCAGTTGTAGATTTGGTCTCTTTACATAATCCCATATTTCTCAAAGGTTTTGTTTATTCCTTTCATTCTTTTTTTCTATTCTTCTCTGCATGTCTTCTTTCAGAAATACAAACTTCAAGCTCTGAGTTTCTTTCCTCATTAATACTTGTGATTGCATTATGAAATTTTTGTATTGTGTTTTACAGTGCTATCGGGTTGGTTAGGCTCCTCTCTATCCTGGCTAATTTGTTTGTCAGCTCCTGCAATATTATATTGTAATTTTTAGCTTTCTTGTATTGAGTTAGAGCATGCTCCTTTAGATCAGTGAAGTTCATTTTTATCCACATTCTGGGGTCTACTTCTGTTATTTCAGGGATCACAGCCTCACCCTTATTCTGAACTCTTGCTGGAGAAGTAGTGTGGTCATTTGGGAGAGGGAGAGCACCCTGATTTTTGAGTTTTTAGTATTCTTGTTGTGATTCTCACCTTTGTGTGCCTATCTATCTTTAATCTTTGAGGTTGCTGGCCTTTGAATGAGATTTTTGTTTGTTTCTCTTCCTTTTAACTGTTTGGCCATTTTGTGTGGGGCTGCTGTAGTTTGTTGGGCATCTGCTCCACTCTCTTGTCACCTCGGATTTTCCAGTATCTGGGGGTATCACCAGTGAAGGCTGTGAAACAAGAAAGATAGCAGCCCACTCCCTTCCCTGGGAGCTCCATCCCAGGGCGGGTGCAGACATGTTGAGGGCTCGAACACACCTGTAGGAGGTGACTGGAAACCCCAGTTGGTAGGTCTCACCCAGCTAGGAGGAATAGGATTGGGGACCCACTTAAGCCATCTAGCCCCACTTTCATAGATCAGCCATGCTGTGCGGGGTACCATTTCTGCCCTTCATCAGATTGGGCTCTCCAAAGCCTGGAGGCTGAAACAGCAAAGTGGCTGAAACAGCAAAGATGGTGGCCAACCCCTCTCTCTAGGAACTCTGGCCCAGGAAGTTTTTAAACCTCTGCCAGCCAGACAACATCAGTGGGAGTTGCTGGAGGCCCTGGTTGGGAAGTTCCACCCAGAGATGCAGAGCATATTAGGTCCCACTTAAAGAAGCAATCTGATCACATTATGGCAGATCCACTGTGCTATGCTGGGGGATTCCTTCTTCCCTGGGATGGTTTGGACTCTCCTAAGCCCACTGATTGTTATGGCTGAGTTCTCCAAACAACAAATATGAAGACCCACTGCTCCCAATGTGCACTGCATCCAGGAATAAATCAAAACTCTGCCTGCCGGAGAATATGGAAGGGGCTGTCTGGAGGCTCTGGTAGGAGGCCCCACTCTGAGATGAAAAAGGTATCTGGGTCCCACTTCAAGAAGTAGTCCGGCCAAACTTTGGGAGGGCCAATGTGCCGTGCTAAGGGATTTCTTCCATCTGCCATGAGTTTTTTTTTTTTTTAACTCTCCTAAACCTCCAGGCTGGAATGGCTGAGTCATCCAAACAGCAAATATAGCAGCCAGCCCCTGCCTCCAGGAACGTTGTTCCATCCCAGGTAATTGCAATGCTGTTGCTGGGGGCTGGATGGAATTCCAAGCCAGTTGATCTTATCCTGTGAGGCGTCATGGAAGTGGGGCCCACTGATGCTGCTCAGGCCCATGGATTCAGCTTCCTTTCTAGGGGCATTTACGGAGATCCAACCTCCCACCTTGTCTGAGTTGCAGTCACCTTTGCCAGAGATCTCAGAGCCAAAATATGTAAAGCTCCTGCGATTCTGTTTGTGTCTGAGCAGTTGTTCTGCCGGGAACACGCAGCTCTGTGTATCAGACCAAAGGCCCTGGTGGAATAAGTTTACGAGAAAATCTCCTGATCCGAGAGTTGCAAAGATCCATGGGAGAAGTGTGGTTTCTCAGGGTCACGTATTTGCTCACCACTTCCTTGGGCAGGGTAGGTTCCCTTTGGTCTGTGTTACTCCCGGGTGGGCGGTTGCCATGCCCTTCTTTTTCCCATGGGTTGAGCTGTTTCCTTCATTAGTCCCACTGCAAATATCTGGGTGTTTCAGTTGATGGTGCTGTATTTATTTTCCCTCTTTGTTTCTTTTCATGAAAGCCACACACCATAGCTACTTCTAGTCAACCCTCTTGGCACACTTTGCTACAATATTTCAGTAGATGGTTTTTATCCTGTAGGCTGTCTCATGGTCCCATATGGCTGGCTGTAGGAGCACAAGCCTGCACCAGCAACCATGTCCATTTCAAAGGCTAAGAAGTAGGAAAGATGCAAGGTCAAAGTGGCTTGCACAGCTGCATCAGCTCCATCTGAGGAATCTCCCTGAAGTCCCATCAATACTTATGGTTACAACCAATTGTCTTGAATAGGGGTCAGAAACTATAACCTTTGTGTTTGTAAGTTGCTGTTTGAATAAAACTAAATTTCTAATTTTGTGTTTTGTTTTGTTTTGTTTTGTTTTGTTTTGTTTTGTTTGATGGAGTCTCACTCTGTCACCAGGCTGGAGTGCAGTGGTGTGATTTTGGCTCACTGAAACCTCTGACTCTTGGGTTCAAGTGATTCTCCTGCCTCAGCCTTTCAAGTAGCTGGGATTACAGGTGTGCTTGCATCACCATGCCCAAAATGCTGGGATTACAGGCATGAACAACCACACCCAGCCCTGACTCTCTGTTTTTAAGAGTGAAAGCAAAATTAAAACTGTGGCGATGACAAGTGCTCTTTTTCTACACTAAATTCAAAGGTAAACAGAAGAAGATGGAGGTTTTCTCAGGTGAAGTGGGCACTCATTTTTCAAACAAAGCCTTTTTTGGTGATTATTTATTTTCAGATCAGATGGGAAAAAAATCTGGGTTCTTGTAAGCACTCCCTTTATGACCAAATGTTAGTCAAGCTTAACTGAACCCTCTTTTTGACTAAGCCAACCTTGACTTCTTGCCCTGCTCCTGGTTTGAGAGGCTCACTTTCATAAATCCTGCTAATACTGTTTAGTAAAAATCCACATATCCCTTATGTCTACTAATATCGTGATTCCCTTTCTTTGATATTTAAGTCCTTAGCCAACCTGTAACCAGCCTTCTGCTATAAAAAGTTCCTCTTCCTCCTTTGGTATTTTATCAAATGTTTTTCAATAATTTTTATCCACTGATTTATTCTGCTTATTGACTATAAATTCTTCGTTGTCTGTGTTCAGAGTTATGATCAATTTCTGAACTGAACCCTATTACGATGGCCATAAAATCTACTACAATAGTATTAATGTCTTTCTTCCCAATTTTTAACAAACATCAGAAATTTTTATTTCACAGTTTCCCAACAGTATGTTTGAGTATAAAAACAGTTTTCAGTTTGCCCCCAAAAATGATGTGATCCACTGTGTAGATGTGTATGCCTGATCCTTGTGTCCAAAAAAGTATGTTTTTATTTAAATGGGGTGAGGGTGACAGATTATAGAGCCAATGTTTTCCTAAAATGCTGAGTCATAAGTGAAACCATACAAATCAAGAATATAGAATGCTTGGACTCCAACGTTTTTAACCCTGAGGATATTTTGATGTCCATAATTTATATTACTGTGAAAATAATGCACAAGAAAGAAAACTGATAGCTCTCCCTCTCCCTCTCCCTCTCCCTCACCCTCTCCATCTCCCCACGGTCTCTCTCTCCCTCTCTTTCCACGGTCTCCCTCTGATGCCGAGCCGAAGCTGGATGGTACTGCTGCCATCTCGGCTCACTGCAACCTCCCTGCCTGATTCTCCTGCCTCAGCCTGCCGAGTGCCTGCGATTGCAGGCGCGCGCCGCCACGCCTGACTGGTTTTCGTATTTTTTTGGTGGAGACGGGGTTTCGCTGTGTTGGCCGGGCTGAGCTCCTAACCGCGAGTGATCCGCCAGCCTCGGCCTCCCGAGATGCCGGGATTGCAGACGGAGACTCGTTCACTCAGTGCTCAATGGTGCCCAGGCTGGAGTGCAGTGGCGTGATCTTGGCTCGCTACAACCTCCACCTCCCAGCAGCCTGCCTTGGCCTCCCAAAGTGCCGAGATTGCAGCCTCTGCCCGGCCGCCACCCCGTCTGGGAAGTGAGGAGCGTCTCCACCTGGCCGCCCATCGTCTGGGATGTGAGGAGCCCCTCTGCCTGGCTGCCCAGTCTGGAAAGTGAGGAGCGTCTCTGCCCGGCCGCCATCCCATCTAGGAAGTGACGAGCGCCTCTTCCCGGCCGCCATCACATCTGGGAAGTGAGGAGCGTCTCTGCCCGGCCGCCCATCATCTGAGATGTGGGGAGCACCTCTGCCCTGCCGCCCCGTCCGGGATGTGAGGAATGTCTCTGCCCGGCCGCCCCGTCTGAGAAGTGAGGAGACCCTCTGCCTGGCAACCACCCCGTCTGAGAAGTGAGGAGCCCCTCCGCCCGGCAGTCACCCCGTCTCGGAAGTGAGGAGCGTCTCCGCCCGGCAGCCACCTCGTTCGGGAGTGAGGTGGGGGGGTCAGCCCCCCGCCTGGCCAGCCACCCCATCCGGAAGGGAGGTGGGGGGTCAGCCGCCCGCCCGGCCAGCCGCCTCCTCCGGGAGGGAGGTGGGTGGGTTAGCCCCCCACCCGGCCAGCCGCCCCATCCGGGAAGTGAGGGGTGCCTCTGCCTGGCAGCCCCTGATGGGAAGTGAGGAGCCTCTCTGCCCGGCCAGCCGCCCCGTCTGGGAGGGAGGTGGGGGGTCAGCCCCCCGCCCGGCCAGCCACCCCTTCTGGGGGGGAGAGAGGTGGGCGGGTCAGCCCCCCGCCCGGCCAGCCGCCCCGTCCGGGAGGTGAGGGGTGCCTCTGCCCGGCCACCCCTACTGGGAACTGAGGAGCCCCTCTGCCCGGCCAGCCACCCCATCCGGGAGGGAAGTGGGGGGGTCAGCCCCCCGCCCAGTCAGCCGCCCCGTCCGGGAGGGAGGTGGGGGGTCAGCCCCCCGCCCGGCCAGCCGCCCCATCCGGGAGGGAGGTGAGGGGGTCAGCCCCTCGCCCGGCCAGCCGCCCTGTCCAGGAGGGAGGTGGGGGGGTCAGCCCCCAGCCTGGCCAGCCGCCCCGTCCGGGAGGTGAAGGGCGCCTCTGCCCAGCCACCCCTACTGGGAAGTGAGGAGCCCCTCTGCCCTGCCACCACCCCGTCTGGGAGGTGTACCCAACAGCTCATTGAGAATGGGCCATGATGACAATGGCGGTTTTGTGGAATAGAAAGGGGGGAAAGGTGGGGAAAAGATTGAGAAATCGGATGGTTGCCGTGTCTGTGTAGAAAGAGGTAGACATGGGAGACTTTTCATTTTGTTCTGTACTAAGAAAAATTCTTCTGCCTTGGGATCCTGTTGATCTGTGACCTTACCCCCAACCCTGTGCTCTCTGAAACATGGGCTGTATCCACTCAGGGTTGAATGGATTAAGGGCGGTGCAAGATGTGCTTTGTTAAACAGATGCTTGAAGGCAGCATGCTCCTTAAGAGTCATCACCACTCCCTAATCTCAAGTACCCAGGGACACAAACACTGCGGAAGGCCACAGGGTCCTCTGCCTAGGAAAACCAGAGACCTTTGTTCACTTGTTTATCTGCTGACCTTCCCTCCACTATTGTCCTGTGACCCTGCCAAATCCCCCTCTGCGAGAAACACCCAAGAATGATCAATTAAAAAAAAAAAAGAAAACTGATAATGCTTAAAATTAAACATGGTGCAACGTATCACTGACTAAAAACTGATATAAGAAAACATTATTCCAAAAAACATTTGGGTATCCACCACTTAACCCAGGAAAGTAGACCGTGTAGAAATAATGGTCCCTACAGACAATTTGTAGAAGCAGAATCTATAAATTATGATGTGAAAAATTCAGGTAATTTTTGTTTAAATATAGTGATCCTGATAAAAATTCAATTGAATTAAAAATTAGAGAAGATTAACTTGAATTAGTTATGTTTTTATAAAATATAAATTATGAAGTTAAAACGTAATATATAAGTATGCTCTGGAAAACACATTCTCAAATGAATAAAATTTCTTTTTATTGGATTAGTTGAATGTTTGATGTTATCTGTTTATTAAACCCAAGGGGATATCACCACCGATCCCACAGAAATACAAACTACCATCAGAGAATACTATAAACACCTCTATGCAAATAAACTAGAAAATCTAGAAGAAATGGATAAATTCCTCGACACATACACCCACCCAAGACTAAACCAGGAAGAATTTGAATCTCTGAATAGACCAATAACAGGCTCTGAAATTGAGGCAATAATTAATAATTAGCTTTCCAACCAGAAAAAGTCCAGGACCAGATGGATTCACAGCCAAAATCTACCAGAGGTACAAGGAGGAGCTGGTACCATTCCTTCTGAAACTATTCCAATCAATGGAAAAAGAGGGAACCTCCCTAACTCATTTTATGAGGACAGCATCATCCTGATACCAAAGCCTGGCAGAGACACAACAAAAAAAGAGAATTTTAGACCAATATCTCCGATGAAGATCTATGCAAAAATCCTCAATAAAATACTGGCAAACCGAATCCAGCAGCATATCAAAAAGCTTATCCACCATGATCAAGTGGGCTTCATCTCTGGGATGCAAGGCTGGTTCAACATACACAAATCAACAAACGTAATCCACCTTATAAACAGAACCAATGACAAAAAAACCATGTGATTATCTTGAGATATCAAGAGATGCAGAAAAGGCCTTTGACAAAATTCAACAACTCTTCCTGCAAAAAACTCTCAATAAATTAGGAATTGATGAGACGTATCTCAAAGTAATAGGAGCTATCTCTGACAAAGCCATAGCCAATATCATACTAAATGGGCAAAAGCTGGAAGCATTCCCTTTGAAAACAGGCACAAGACAGGGATGCCCTCTCTCACCACTCCTATTCAACATAATGCTGGAAATTCTGGCCAGGGCAATCAGGAAGGAGAAGGAAATAAAGGGTATTCAATTAGGAAAAGAGGAAGTCAAATTGTCCCTGTTTGCAGATGACATGATTGTATATCTAGAAAACCCCATCATCTCAGCCCAAAATCTCCTTAAGCTGATAGGCAACTTCAGCAAAGTCTCAGGATACAAAATCAGTGTGCAAAAATCATTAGCATTCTTATACACCAATAACAGACAAACAGAGAGCCAAATCGTGAGTGAACTCCCATTCACAATTGCTTCAAAGAGAATAAAATACCTAGGAACCCAACTTACAAGGACGTGAAGGACCTCTTCAAGGAGAACTACAAACCACTGCTCAATGAAATAAAAGAGGATACAAACAAATGGAAGAACATTCCATGCTCATGGGTAGGAATAATCAATATCGTGAAAATGGCCATACTGCCCAAGGTAATTTATAGATTCAATGCCATCCCCATCAAGCTACCAAAGACTTTCTTCACAGAATTGGAAAAAACTACTTTAAAGTTCATAAGGAACTAAAAAAGAGCCCTCATTGCCAAGTCAATCCTAAACCAAAAGAACAAAGCTGGAGCCATCACGCTACCTGACATCAAACTATACTACAAGGCTACAGTGACCAAAACAGCATTGTACTTGTACCAAAACAGAGATATAGACCAATGGAACAGAACAGAGCCCTGAGAAATAATGCCACATATCTACAACCATCTGATCTTTGACAAACCTGACAAACACAAGAAATGGGGAAATGATTCCCTAGTTAATAAATGGTGCTGGGAAAACTGGCTAGCCGTATGTAGAAAGCTGAAACTGGATCCCTTCCTTGCACCTTATACAAAAATTAATTCAAGATGGATTCAAGACTTAAATGTTAGACCTAAAACCGTAAAAACCCTAGAAGAAAACCTAGGCAATACCATTCAGGACATAGGCATGGGGAAGGACTTCATGTCTAGAACACCAAAAGCAATGGCAACAAAAGCCAAAATTGACAAATGGGATCTAATTAAACTAAGGAGCTTCTGCACAGCAAAAGAAACTACCATCAGACTGAACAGGCAACCTACAGAATGGGAGAAAGTTTGTGCCATCTACTCATCTGACGAAGGGCTAATATCCAGAATCTACAACGAACTCAAACAAATTTACAAGAAAAAAACAACCCCATCAAAAAGTGGGTGAAGGATATGAAGACCCTTCTCAAAAGAAGACATTTATGCAGCAAAAAGACACATGGAAAAATGCTCATCATCACTGGCCATCAGAGAAATGCAAATCAAAACCACAATGAGATACCATCTCACACCACTTAGAATGGCGATCATTAAAAAATCAGGAAACAACAGGTGCTGGAGAGGATGTGGAGAAATAGAAACACTTTTACACGGTTGGTGGGACTGTAAACTAGTTCAACCATTGTGGAAGTCAGTGTGGCGATTCCTCAGGGCTCTAGAACTAGAAATACTATTTGACCCAGCCATCCCATTACTGGGTATACACCCAAGGGAGTATAAATCATGCTGCTATAAAGGCACAAGCACAAGTATGTTTATTGCGGCACTGTTCACAATAGCGAAGACTTGGAACCAACCCAAATGTCCAACAATGATAGACTGGATTAAGAAAATGTGGCACATATACACCATGGAACAAAATGCAGCCATAAAAAATGAAGAGTTCATGTCCTTTATAGGGACATGGATGAAGCTGGAACCATCATTCTGAGCAAACTATCCAAGCACAAAACACCAAACACCGCATGTTCTCGCTCATAGGTGGGAATTGACCAAAGAGAACATATGGGCAGAAGAAGGGGAACATCACAATCCGGGGCCTGTTGTGGGGTAGGGTGAGGGGGGACGGATAGCATTTGGAGATATACCTAATGTTAAATGGCGAGTTACTGGGTGCAGCACACCAACATGGCACATGTATACATATGTAACAAACCTGCATGTTGTGCGCATGTACCGTAAAAGTTAAAGTATAATAAAAAAATAAAATAAAATAAAATTTAATTAGAAATGAAAAAAGAAAATTCTACAACTTGAAACTAGATAGAAGATAGATCAGAAACAAAAATAGGAGTAAAGTGTGACTTTCTTCTCACTGTTTGATTATTATAGAGGCATTTTTATTTCATTAAAATCTTATATTTCTGGGGCTAGTTAATGTTATGATATTTTATTTTTAAATAGTTTTATTTTATTTACTTCAGTTAATTTGTAATTTTTGAGGATGCATTGTAGGTGTATATACTTATGGGGTTCATGAGATGTTTTGATGCGGTCTCGCAATGCATAATAATCACATCATAGAGAATGGGATACCCACCCACTCAAGCATTTATTCTTTGGGTTAAAATCTGATTATTCCTTCTTAGCTAGTTTAAAATGTACAATTACATTATTATTGACCAGAGTCATCTCGTTGTGCTATCAAATAATATGTCTTATTTATTCTATTTTTTTGTACACATTAACAGTCCCCACCTTTCCCCCAGCCTCCACTGTCTTTCTTAGCTTCTGAAAACCATCCTTCTGCTCTCTATGTCCGTGAATTCAGTTGTATTAATTCTTCCATCCCACGAATAAGTGAGAACGCACAGTGTTTATCTTTCTGTGCCTGGCTTATTTCACTTAACATACTCTTCTCTTTTATCCACGTTGTCGTAAAAGACAAAATCTCATTTTTATGGCTGAATACTACTCCAATGTATATATGTACTACTTTTTTTATACATTCATTCATTTGTAGACAGTTTGCTTTCAAATCTTAGCTATTGTAAACAGTGCAGCAACAAGCCGATTTTCTTTCTTTTGTGTCAATGCCCATCACTGGGATTGTTGGGTTGCATTGTAGCTGTGGCAGCTCAATTTTTAGCTTTTTGAGGAACCTCCACACTTTTTTATAGTGGTTATACTAATTTACATTCCCACCAAGAGTGCACTAAAGTTTTCTCCACATCCTCGTCAGCACTTGTTATTGTCTGTCTTTGGGATATAAGACATTTTAACTGGAGTGAGATAATGTCTTATTGTAGTTCTGATTTGCATTTCTCTGAGGTTTAATGATGTTTAGCAACATTTATATGTCTGTTTGCCATTTGTATGTTTTCTTTGTAGAAATGCCTCCTCCTGGCTGGGTGTTTCATGCCTATAATCTCAGCACTTTGGGATGCCGAGATGGAAGGATCACCTGAGGTCAGGAGTTTGAGATCAGCCTGGCCAACATGGCTAAACCCAGTCTCCACTAAAAATATAAAAATTTGTCAGGCATGTGTTCTGCATGGGAGATCCATGAGGAAGAAGAAAAGGCACACACAATACTTTTAAGGGTAAACATCTTTTGTCTCAATTATATGGCAATACAGATATAATAAGTAAATGATATGATAAGCAAATTGATATGAGAAGGGAAAAAATATATATATTTTTTATATATATAAATATATATATTATATATATATAATTATATATGTATTTATTTACATTTATTTATTTAAATAATTATGTACATAATTATATAATTATTTTTATTTACAGTTATATGTATAAATTATATACATATATATGTATATATATATATATATACATATGTTTACACACAGCAGACTACAGAGTATGGAGGAAGCATCACCAGACAGAGAAGCAATAGCCTGGGCTCCAGAGTCAGACACTACACTCACCAGACTATGGAGGATTCATCAACAGACCGGGAAGCAACAGCCTGGGCTACAGAGTTGGCCCCTCATCCCTGCAGAGATGGGGAGAGGTCTCAGGAAGCTCTAGTGCCATCTGGGACCCTAGCTCTTTTTGTAAGGAGTTCTTTGGCATAAGGCCGGGTAACGAGGACTCTTCACTACTGGGCTCAAAAACCACAAAAATGTCAAATTTTTGGCGATTGTCTGTTGTTTTTCAATAACTAACATACAGGAACAGATTAAAATAGAAATTTCTCTGAGACACTGGTGGATGAACGCCTGAAGAAACTCACAGAACCTGTTCCGGGACTTGGTGACCATTGTTTGTGTCCATGTTCAATTGAGATAAAATTGAGTATTTAACTTTTCTTCCAAATTTGGCTTCAATTTGATACTCAATTGTAGGAAAATACCCTTACAGATACTTGGGGAAAGCATACTTTATACAGATTACAGATTCAGTGTAAGCACAGGAGAATTAAAAGCACAGTTAATGAAAACCACACCCACCATGGCTGTGCAAGGAGAGTCGTAGTGTGAGAATTGTCAGGGATATACACACAACATTCGGTATGCAGTAAGGTACAGGGACGATTCTCCAACGTAGCCCATTTTTGGTGGCCTCTGGCAATTCCACGCATAGCCAACATTGACTGCAGTTGGCTTCTGTTGCAGTGGTGGCTATGCAGATGATGAATTTATTCTTGGCATCAGACACAGAGACACAGGTACTGACCATTAGTAAACAGGTTATTCTCTGTAATAACCAAAACAGAGGGGAACATAATATTGTTTTTCATCTTTAGGAAACTGTACTATGCCTTCAGTTTCTTCTCCCATAGCTACAAGTTCACCAGCCATAGGAGTAGGATGTGATGGACGCTGTACTCATATTTTGGCTCCAGGATTTAAGCTACGTGTACCAGTGCGTCTGAATCTCCCAGTTCTGTATGTAGCCTCTGTTGGGGCAGAGACATCCTCAGGGGTTAATTGTTGACAAGGTACCACTAAAAATTGAGGAACCCACATCTGCAGTTTTACAGCAAAAGATTCTCGAGTGATATTGTATACAATGATCTTTAACTCTCCCCTGTAACCACTCTGAATTATACCACCATACATTATGCCGTTCATTGCAAGACTTGAATGTGTTTTAATCCATTCATCCGCATTCAAATTTGCAACTATGGTGGAAATTTTGGCCTGTTGATCTGTCTGCTGATTAAATAGTCTGTCGAGAAAGCAGAGACACATGAGCATCAACATGAAAAACAGTGATAATGATAGTGTGCACCAGGATTCAGGTATCTTCCCAGGAGTGTTTTCCCTCTTTATGCCTAATTAACCATTTGTAAAGATAAAATAGAGAATGAAGGTGGTGTCGGTGAGATTGGACATCAAAAGACACAAAAGGAATGTGACATGGTGACCTGAGAAAGGAATAGAGAGAGAAATTAAAATAGACAAAAAGGGGAATCAGCAAGGAGATGGAGGAGGCAGAATAGAAGAGGGGACTCAACAAACAGGAGCAGTTGGTGCAACAGAGGGTGCATCGCATACTTGTACAACGCTTCTTTCATTTTCTAGTTACTTTTCCTTTTAAATTTGTGTCAGATTTAGTTAAGGTGTCAACGTTTTTTTAAATCTTTTTATATACTGAAAATATTCTTTGCTGTTTAGTAAATAACTTTCAGTATTTCAATTTGCTCTTGATAAGAGTATTAATTTTTAAATCAACAGACAACATTCAGTAAAACTAGTTAGTCTAATATGCAGCAGCTTCTTCTCTTCCACATGTGATTTGGGAATTTAATGCACTGTGAGACGAAATTTCCAAGTCTATGATGTCTTTAAGTTCCCTTTGCTCTTTTTTTTTTTAGCAGATATTGAAGAATGGGCTGGCTGGGCATGAAACTTTCTTCCACCAAGACCATCTTTTCATGATAAATACATTGTCCTGAGTTATTTTTATAGCTAATCCTCTTTCTTGTTTCCAATTGTCAATTATTACATATTTTCAACTTTATAATTTTGGAAGTTCGATGTGATTTCTCAAAAAAAAGAAAGAAAAAAAGAAAATGCTTGAGTTTAATGTGATTAGAATAACAGAGAAGTTTCTCCTGGTCAAGAGTATAAAATTTGGTCTGAGACCTTTAGCCAGTGCTGGTGACTCTCTGCTGGCCTGTCCTCATCCTATCCCTCCCTTCCCAAACATACACTTACACAGTCACAAGGCAGCTGAGGAGAGGAGAGCACAGACTTTAAACTCTGTATGTGTATATATTTTAAGATAGAACCTTGCTCTGTTGCCCAGGATGGAGTGTAGTGGCACTATCTCGGCTCACTGTAGGCTCCACCTCTGAGTTCAGGCGATTCTCGTGCCTCAGTCTCCCAAGTAGCTGGGATTACAGGTGCCTACCACTATGCCCAGCAAATTTGTGTGTTTTTAGTAGAGTCAGGGTTTTGACATGTTCCCCAGGTTGGTATCATACTCTTAGCCTCAAGCGAGCCACTGGCCTTGGCCTCCCAAAGTGCTGGAATTACAGGCATGAGCCACAATACCCGGCCTGTCTTTATATGATTTCTTTGGCTGTAAAGAGTATCAGTGGTGTCTGTACCTTTCTCAGTGGCTTAGGGTATCGTTTTTAGCAGAGGCTGTGGTAAAGTTTTGCTGGGAATAGGGGCACCAGAGGTTTAGTCATTGGATCCCAGTGGTGGCAGTGGTGAGCTTACCATGCCTGCTTTTGGGTCTCAAGGCAGTTATGCTGGCAGCAGTGTTAACAGGTCCAGGAAGACTAATTATTTGGCCTTCATGTGATTTGCTCAGGTGTCAGCAGTGAGCAAGGTGGGTGGGCAGCTTCTTGAGCCCCTGGACAGTGGTTATGGCATGGATGATGGCAGTAGCAACGACAAGAAAAACCTCTGACTCCCAAGCGTTCCATGCTGGTGTTGGTGTTTGCTGTGATGGGCTGGGAAGGCCAGTTTCTAGGAACACAGGTGGTGTATATATGTGGGTATCAGCTGCGTTAGTAGCTCCAGGTTCAGTGAGTCCATCCTCAGGTCTCAGAGAAGAGTGCTCAGGTGCCAATCTTGTTAGACTTCACTGGACTGAAGTCCATATTTTAAGCACTATCTGGCTCCACACACTCATTGGCCGTTCTTATCATCACTCTGAGCCCATTAACCCCGCAGCAGAAAAACATCAGGAAAGTTTTTAATATTTCTTCTTTGGGGCACAGTATGCAAGGAAAGGAATTGTATTAAGAGATGAAGTAAGTACTCTTATTAGAAAAAGGAACACTTTGGGGCCAGAAATGGACCAGTGTCCAAGGCATGCAGAAAGCAGGAAATAATTACCGGGTCATGGGATGGAACTATGGAGAGTGACTAAAGTTTCAAGATCATAAACCAGTCTTTAGTTGCTCCTAATTTAATTTAATGCAATCCTCACTCTTTGTCATCATTTGGTTTTAATGTATAAAGCTATGGGGTCTGCTTATTGTATGTTTTGTAGTATAATTTGGAAATTAATCTATCAGCTCTTTTTTCTCAGCCCAGTTGGTGTCTTGTCAACTCCTCTGCACGAATTGCTTCTTGTTTTCTCACAGTCCAGCCCTATGTTCTCATGAGCTGTGACCCTGGGGTATCCAGGCTCTGGTTTGCCTGCTGTGGAAAAAGTGCAGCTTTCTAAGCTGGTCACATATCTCTACATTAAATGTACATTGTCTTTTTAAAGCAATGTTCAGACATTCATATATTCTTTCTTCCTGAGGTTTAAGCACCACAAGCAGCAGTCATATAATGGAGAGATTCTCAACAACAGAGTGAGTCTCTGCCATAATTGGATTTATTATACATTAGAAACAGCAGTTACATACTAAATGTTTTACAAAGTGTTTTTTATAATTTTTATTTCCTTAAATATTGCAAATAGAAAATTTAGAGGTCCAACATTTATTTAAAATTTGGCTCTTGTAATTTGCAGTGGAAAGCTTATATGAGTATCTACCTCTAAACCAATTAATTAAAAATGCTCTGGGGTTAACTGGGCACCAAAGTATAAGAAAATTTTAATTAAGTGAAAAAGTCTAAGTAATGACCAACTAAGGAAATAAAAAGGAAATTATACTTTCAACCCCCTTTCCCCCAGTTGCTCTATGCTCTATTTTTTTTCTATTGCCAAGTTGTACAATTTTATTTTTGTCCTTGATAATTGTACTTTATTTTAACGTGACTAGATTATATTTTATTTTATTTTATTTTATTTTATTTTATTTTATTTTGTTTTATTTTATTTTAATGTGACTAGATTTTGCCTCACTCCAGGCTGGAGTACGGTAGCATGATTATAGTTCACTGTAACCTCAACTTCCTGAGTTCAAGTAATCCTCCTGCCTCAGCCTTCTAAGTAGTTGAGACCACAGTTACATGCTATAATGTCAAAATAATTTTTAAAACATTTTCAGTGACAAGGTCTTGCTTAGGCTTGTCTCAAACTTCTGGCCTTAATTGATCCTCTGGCCTCAGCATCCCTAGCAGCTGAAATTTCAAGTGTGAGCCACTGAGCCCAGCTCTTTATTTTTATAAATATTTATCTCTTTAGTTTTTTCTGAAGCATTTTCAACACCTTCACCTGAACTTTCAGGCTTTCAACTCACAGTTGATTTTATCCATTTTGCTATTCATCCTATTTATTCTATTGCTTATATACTTTTGTAACATATTTAATATTTTGAGTTTTAAATTCTTGATACTTATATGTATGTATTTTTAGTTGTCTCTTTTGCAAGGCTGCGATTCTCTCTAGAGAAGAGAATGGGCTCTATGCTTTCTTGAGAAAAGCATTTTATAACATGGGAGTAAAACAGACCCTGTGGAAAATAAAATAAAAGGCATTTTAATCATGATTTTTTATAAATTGCTATTTGGGAGACACAAATTTAGCAAGAAGCTATATCATGTTCCATTCAGATGAGGTTAGGGAGGGACTTATAAAGTTTTACTGCAAGTTTACACAAGTGAAAGATTTTAGCACAGTCTATGATGGACAATGTTTGATTGCCAGCTTAGACTGTATCTAGGCAATCATCAGCTTAATTCAGCACAGCTTTCTCTCCAGGAGGTTTGTGATCAGGCTCAGTATAAACAATCCAAGTCAAATGCAGTTGCCTTTTTAGGACATCTGTAATTTTCCCAGTTCGAACAGGTAAAATTCCACCTGGGTGTGTATGAGTATTAATTCAACTCCTCATGTCCTCCTAGTTGTCTTTAGAGACCTCTCAAATAACTATCTCCATTTTGGATTTCTTTTAATTAGAAATAAAGAGCGCAAGGATTATCACTGGTTGGGAATATAGAAAAATAGTGCCCACCTGTGATTCATCGGACCCCAGTCAGAGAGAAAAGGCCAAGATATGCCTGACAGAAAGGCTTGAGGACCTTTAGGTAATTTATTCCTCAAAAAGAATTGGTTCACACCTGTAATTCCAGCACTTTGGAAGGCCAAGGCGGGCAGATTATTGGAGGTCAGGAGTTCAAGACCAGCCTGACAAACATAGTGAAACTAAAAATACAAAATTTGCTAAACATACTAAACGTACAAAAATTAGCTGGACATGAAGCTGGGTGCCTGTAATCTCAGCTACACAGAAGCCTGAGGCAGCAGAATCTCTTGAACCCAGGAGGTGGAGATCGCAGTGAGCCAAGATTTTACCAATGTACTCCAGCCTGGGTGACACAGCAAGACTCTGTCTCAGAAAGAAAAAATTGGATAAAGAATTGCCCTAATGCTGGGAATTTTACCTCATAGGTAGTAAAAATATTTACAGAATAAGGCCCAGGTGTAGCCATAAAGTGGCATTACAATTCTTTCATTCTAGATAAGAAACTAACTTAAAAAAAGAATAGAAATTCTAAGGTAAGAGACAAAACTCTGGGAGGATTTACATCTAAGGTAAAGGCTCAATCACAGGACACCAGAAGAAGATTGAGAATGCAGCTTCCTTTCTGCCCTGCATCCATTGTCAATAGACTTTCCCTGGCCTTCTCCTTTTGACTTTGGTCATTTTATTTTATAATGTTTTTTTCCACATAGACCTGATGCAACTCCAGAGTTGGAAGAAAAAACAACAATGTCCTAATAGTTGCTTAGAGGAAACCTCAGCAAGTGAAGCAGAAGTTGATTTATTTTTTGTAAAATCATAGAAAGGTATTCATCCTCCTGATCTCTGCAACTGCTTTTTAAAGAAATCTATATTTCCAAGACTGTCGCTATGCTTTGTGAAAATACCTTCAAATTATTAATTCTGCAAGTTCGAATGATCTATCTTCACTCTTTCCTTGGGTTAATATTAAAATGAACATATGCTCTGAGAAAAATGGACCTGGGTGTCTTATCCGGCAGCCAGAAACTATGACTGCTTTTCTCTTCTTCCTCATACATTATGCTGCCGACTCTTTAGGATTTCATAATTCAAGGAGAAATGTTAGAGTCTGTATCTCATTTAAGCTTACACAAGTGAAATAAAAAGAACCACAACCACAACTCCGATTTTGTAGTAGAATGAGATTTTCATATAATATTCGACTCTAGCATTTACTATTTACGAAAAATAAATATTTCCCCTCCTCTCTGGATAAACACATTCTGGGGAAGAGCTCTCAGGGAGATGGAGAAGAGCTGTCTCTTCTTCTTCTGATTTTCAGTTGTTCCAGCAAATGTCTCACAATATTCTTTACATTGAAGCTGCAGGAAATGAACCAAAACACCAAGTGCCTTAGTTGGGCCCTGCTGCTGAGGAAGAGGCTGTGTTTGAGCTGGTCTCAGTTTGCCCTGTCACTGACATAGGACTCTGTACTGGGGCCCGGCTACTAGATGGAAGGGCTAAATTATGTTGGGACTTCCCTCAGAATTATGGCTCACCCTCCTCCCTCATCTGCATTCTGAGCTCCAGGCACTGTGTAGAGCACTCCGTTCATTGACAGTTCCCATGTATCCCTGATATGTGAGTCATCAGCACGGCTGCACTTCACAGAGGACAAAATGAAATCGAGGGGAGGAGAGGCAACTCTCGCCACCTGCAGGACTGGTCAGTGGTGGAGCCGGGATCCCAGAGTCAGCTTTTAGGATCACTTCACTCACATTAAGCCCAAAACTTCACTGAGCCTTTTAAAATAAAGGGATACTGATTGTCCCACCTCACAGCCCTCGGGTAAAGCTAGATCAGGCTCAATGTGGAGGGCACTGAGCACAGCACAAGTTGCATGTGAGTGGGGACTGTCATTGTTTCCTGGGGCCCTCAGGTTTGGAGGTTTCCTGCCATGTAGTGACAGCTGGCTTAGGGGGCATTAGGGGAGGGGCTTCCCCACAGTTTGTTGCAACAGCCACCTGGCTCAACCAGGAATGTTCCAAAGTCATCCAGATAATTTCCCAGATGACCACTCAGTCATGTGGTGTCCTACTACCCATGGGATACAGCCTAAACTTTTTATCATAGGAGGAATAATTTCTAGTGTCTGACAGCACAGTAGGATAACTACAGTTAGCACTAATTTTTAGTATATTTTAAAATAGATAGAAGAGATGGCTTTAAATTCTCCCAACACAAAGGAAATTTTTCAAACACAAAGAAAATAATATCCATGTTTGAGGTGATGGATATTCTAATTACCCTGATTTGATCACTGTACATTGCATGCATGTATCAAAATATCACTCATGCACCACAAATATATACTATTATTATGTATCAACAAAGGGAAAATTGCTAAAAGTGGCTCCCAACTAAAAAAAAAAAGTCAATTTCTAAGTCACAGAAAAAGATGCTCACTTTAAATTGTAAGTTCTGTGACAGAATGTAAAGGTTTGCATAGTCACTTTTACAGTCCCAGACTATCATGCATAGAACTGCCTGGCCCCGTGTGTATGTACACACAGAGATACAACCATGCTTCTCTAGTGGGGCATTTTTTTCTCCCTGAAACATTTGCCAATGTTTGGAAACCTGTCTTGCTGTCTGGTTATTTTAGTAAATTGATTGTGACTGTAATTAGGCCCAATTTAATGACTGTAATTAGGCCCACTTGCTGTCTGCACATAGATGATCAGGGGCAAGTAGTCGAAGATATAGTTAAAGACATGATGAAACTGGCACATGTGCCAGTACAGGTGTGGCACCGATTTGACACTGAGGCCATGTTTGAAAATGGTTCCCGGCACTAGAAGGATTTAAAACTCTTATAATGGAAACTATAGTAGTAATAGGAACCTGCTTACTGATCTCTTGCTTACTAGCTGTACTCATTCAAGTGGTAAAAGTTTTCATGGCAACTCTAGTTCACCAGAACGCTTCAGCACGAGTGTACTACATGAATCACTATCAATCTGTGATAGAGGAAGACATAGGTAGTGAGGAAGAAGGTGAGAACTCCCACTAATAAAATGAGTGAGAGTCTCAAAGGGGGAAAATAAGGGAGGAGACCAACCCTCATATTGTCTTATACCCAATTTCTGCCTCCAAAGAAAGAAGAAGTAAAAACTAGAAGGCAGAAATGAAATCCACAAGCAGACAGCCCAGCGCCACACCCTGGGCCTGGTAGTTAAAGGTCAACCCCTGACCTAATCGGTTATTTGCATAAAAAATGCACTGTGAAGATCCCTGTCCTGTTCAGTACCTTTCTAATTACCAGTGTATGCATCCCCCAGTCACATACCCACTGCTTGCTCAATAGATCGTGACCCTCTCATGCGGACCCCCTTAGAGTTGTGAGCCCTTAAAAGGGACAGGAATTGCTCACTCGGACGGTTCAGCTCTTGGGAAAGAAGTCTTGCTGAAGCTCCCAGGTGAATAAACACCTTCTTTCTTTAACTCAGTGTCCAAGGGGTTTTGTCTGCAGCTCTTCCTGTTACATTGGGAGAGGCCAATGTGGGCAGCGACATGGGGAGGCACAGATCCCTTAGTGGTGGCTGTGTGCTCTGAGGCGAATGTGGGGAAAATCAGACCTAAGATGCTTCATATGGCTGATAGTACCAGCTTTACAGCTGCAGCAGTCTGCGACAGGGGAAGGCATGGTCCTGGCTAAGCAGCATCTGAAACTCCCGCAATAGGACCAGGTCTGGTGGACTCAAGAGTGAAAGTCAGAGTGAAAGTGAACTGCAAGAGAGGAAATGAGAGTGAAAACATCAAAAGTGGCTCCTTTGAAAAGCATAATAAAGAATTTTAAAAAAAGAGTTAGAAGTGATTATAGGATGAAACTGAGTGTTCAAAAGTTAAGGACATACTGTGAATTAGAATAGCCCTGTTTTAGTGTCAGATGGCTTGCCAAAGGCACTATAGAAAAATTGGCCGTGTGTTTTAAGGTGGTGACTAGGGTCAGAGAACAGCCAGGACATTCAGACCTAGTCTTTATATTGACTCATGGCTAAATGAATGCAGCCCTGCCTAGCAGTTTACTGTAGAATGCTCGCAGCTCACGGCAAGAGAAAATCAGCTGCTCTGGCAGCTACAGAGTTAAAAGGAGACACAGAGGCTTGTAGCACCTCCCAGCCAAAAGTGAAAGTAAAATCAGCTGCCCCAGCAGCTGAAGACAAATGAAAAAATCTCAGAAAAGGCAGAAAAACCGGTTTTGTAACAACCACAGAAAAGAATAGAGACCGCTCCTCCTTACATTCCAATCTACCCCCTTTACCAAGGTAACTGTCCCTAAGGAGTTAAGTTCAAATGGATACATGCTGCCAGTCTCACCCGAGAAGGTGAAATGAGAGCGAAAATCAGGCAGGCCGTCTCAGGTCTGGTCGTGCATAAGATATGCTCATGCCTCTTAAGAGGACAGGAGGACCCCCACTAGGACCCAGATGATGCAGTCCAGATTCAGCACCTACAAAGGTGCCGAGAAGCCCATCTGCAAAGGCTAAAGGATGGTAAAAGAAAAAGGCAATCAATATTTTTAAAAATCTCAGACATGCTTCAGGGTGCAGATAAAAGCACAGCAAGTTCTATGAAAGACTTTGTGAGGCATTTTTATTGTACACTCCGTTTAACCCTGAGGCTACTCAAAAATCAGTGCAGGGTGAATCCAGCACTTGTAAGGCAGACCCAAGGAGATATCAGGCATAAATTGCAGAAGTTACAAGCTCCGTAGGCGAGAATGCTACTCAGCTTATTAAAGTGACAACCAAGGTGTTAATTAACCGAGATGAGGAGGCAAAGGAAAAGGCTGATCACAGGCTTAAGAAAGGCTAACTTACTAGCAGCAGCCCTTCCGGGAAGAGGAGCTGGCTTTACAAGGAGGCATGGACGCGGGCGTGAACGTAGTCATGAAAAAGGCTAGTCTGGACAGGAGTGTGAAGGCCAGCCGAGGCTAGAGAGAGATTAATGTGCATGGTGCAAAAGGAAAGACACTGGAAGCATAAATGTCAAAGAAATAATGAAAATGATCAGGGCAATAGTAAAAGAAACAAAAAACAAACCAAAAAAACCCAAAAAAACAGAACCAAAAAATCACACACACACACCAGCCAAGGGCTACTACACGCAGAAGAAACCCAAGAACCACTGCACCTGCTGTAGAAGGCAGAATAAAAAGTGTCAGAAAAAAGCTCAAATCTCCTCTAAAAGTGTCAATATTTAAGCTTTTATATAAGCCAAGAGGAAAGATGGCTTAGTCCTGAAAAAAAGCAGGCTGTTTGTGCACTTTCTACTCCAACCACCCGGTGTCAAGTAAGAGAGTTTCTAAGAGCAGCAAGGTTCTGCCGCGTTTACAACCCAAATTTCTTGCTCATGGTCAAGCCATCATACCAAGCCACTAAGAGGAGGAAAAAAGGAGCCCCTCCTCTAGGAGGCCAAAGAGGAGAAGGATTTTAAAGAAATCAAAGAAGCCTTGACTCAGGCCCCAGCTTTAGGACTGCCAGATCTAACTAATCAAGCTTTTCTTCTTGTATGTCCACAAGTGAAAGGGAGGCCATAGGGGTTCTGACTCAAGCCATAAGGTCATGGCATCGCCTGGTGGCATATTTATCCAGGCAATTAGATTCTGTTGCACTTGGATGGCCTCCTTGTCTTAAAGCACTAGCAGCCACTGCCGTACTGGTGCAGGAAGCTAGTAAACTAACTTTAGAGACTGTGAATACCCTAAATCCGGCTACCTTACTCTCATCGAGTCAGTGCCAGGAGGACCGTTTCATTGTGGTGTGGACGTGGTAGATGAAGTGTTCTCAAGCCAGAGAGATTTGACAGATCAGTCCCTCAGGGACCCAAACATTGAATATTCTACTGATGGAAGCAGTTTCATACTAAAAGGAGCCCGCCAAGCTGTGTATGCAGTGGTGACTTTAGACTCAACAGTAGAGGTGCAGTCTTCATCTACAGAAACTTCTGATTAGAAAGCAGAACTAAGAGCTCTGACAAGAGTTCTCTGGCTAGCAAAAGACCAAAAGACCAATATTTATACAGGTTCCAAATATGCTTCTGCCACTTTGCATGTTCATAAGGTTATTTACAAAGAAAAAAAGAAGACTTTTAACTGCGGAAACAAAGAAATAAAGTACAAGGAAGAAATCCTACAGCTCTTAAACGCTGTATGGGCCCCAAAAGTGACGGTAGTGAAGTCCTGCAAGAGGCAGCAAAAAGCAAGAACACTAAGGGCTAAAAAAGATACGAAGGCAAAGAGGCAAAGAAGGCTGCAATGACAACTCCACCTAAAGAAGATGCCTTAGCTATGCCTCTCCTCCCGGAGATTCCCCTCCTGGAGATCCCAATCTTCACTCCAAATAACAGAGCTTGGCTTCCCCAGGAAAATAAGAACTACATTGAAAGAGGATAATACAAATTCTTCAATGGGAGGCTAGCCATACCTGAAATGGTGACCCCCAGATTTGTAAAACAATTCCACCACCGAACTCAGATTAAAAAAAAAATAAAGACATTATTAAGGCATCATTTTTATCTGCCATGGCTCATTGCTATTACTCGGGCCATTTGTAAACTGTGTTTAACTTACACTCGGAACAATCCACGACAAGATCCTACTCGGCCCATGGGAGTTCAGGAAAAAGGAGCCATGCCCTGTGAAAAACTGCTAATGGACTTCACTGAATGACCCTGAGACGGGGGCTATCAGTACATATTGGTGTTCATTTGCACCTTTTCAGGATAGCTCAAGGCCTTTCCCACCAGGACAGAGAGGGCACTAGACGTGACCAAGGCGTTAAGAGACATTGTTCCCAGATTTGGGCTGCCTCTAACTCTAAGATCAGAGAATGGACCAACATTTGTGGCTAAAATAGTTCAGGACTTAACTCGACTATTAAAAATAAAATGGAAATAACATACAGCCTACAGGTAGCAGATCTCAGGTAAAGTGGAGAGCATAAACTGGACACTCAAGCAGCTGTTGAAGAAATTTTGTCGAAAAACTCATCTGAAGTAATATCAGGTCTTGCCCATGGTCCTCTTATGAGTCAGGTGCACCCCCACCAAAAAACTGAGTATTCGCCCTCTGAGATTTTGTTCAGCTGCCCACCCCCCAGAAAAATCAGATTCAGGGTAATCTCTGTAAATTGGGAAAACTAACTTTAAGAAGGCAAATGCAGGCTTTAAGTATGGCTATACTAAAATGCATGGTTAAGTATGTAAAAAAATGCCTATAAGTCTAACAGACCCAGTACACCCTTTCAAACCTAGGGACTTCGTTTAGGTAAAAAATGGAATTCAACCACTCTAGGACCCATATACGATAGGCGCCATATTGTAATCATGTCTACTCCCACTGCTGTTAAAGTTGCAGGTGCCACACCTTGGATTCACCATAGCCATCTAAAACCAGTGACAGTAGCGAGTCGTGATGACAACCTGTGGATTAGCCAACAAGACCCAGATTGCCCCACTCGAATAGCCCTATGGCAAATCTCAGCCACCGGTAAAAAGGACAACCGCCCTGCTCTGACCACACTGGAGGCTGGTCAGTCTAAGCATGGCTGAAGCTTAAGGATTCTTCAAACTCTGCTCTAGTCACATCCCGGAAGCTGACTAGTGTACACACAGCCGAAGCTAAGAGGACCATGTCCAGATAAGTAAATGTGAATACAATTTATAACCATAGTTACAATTCTGTCAATACTGATTGTTCCGTTGTTATGTTATTACTGCAAATGCTGCAAATGTCTATGCCCAGAGGAAAGTTTTTGTGCCCATGTGTAGTGTAAGCATGTTTCTATTACATACAACAATGTTGTTACCATTTATGCTTATACTGAAAGGGGATAAATCTCTTGAAGGATGTCCATGCTGTGTACACATTACCTGGATAAAAAATACCACAGTTAAAACTCTACTGTACCATACCTACTATGAATGTACAGGAAGCAAATTAGGAATATGCATATACAACCAGACCACCTATTCAGTCTGTGACTGAGGAAATAATCAGCTATATGTATGTTATGAGCCTGGGCTCTTACCCTATTAATTCTATTTTGAGGTAAATATTATATCAGAGGGAGAAACAGAAGGAAAGCTTATAGCTCAAACCAAAGAAATCCCACCCTTCTAAAAAGGGCCTATTTCTTCTTTGATGACTGCCATGCCACGTATGTTCATAATCCTAAAAACCAGATTGTAAGACAAGGACATGCGATCCTTTAAATTTTACTATCTTAAAGCCAGAGCTACCTTTTTGGTCTACAGGACAGACAGCACTATTACCAGTTGATAGACAAGGAGCAGGTCTTGGAGTTCCACTACTAATTGTCAAAAATACTATAAGGACTCAAATGCATCCAACCCCTCAATACCAAGTCATTCTGTAAGCATTTTGATCAGCCAGTGCCCGAGGTTCCCCCATCAACCAAAAACTTATTTGCTCAACTAGCTGAAAACACAGATGGCAGCTTAAAAATTTCTTCATGCTATGTATGTAGAGAAACTAATATGGAGAATGAGTGGCAATGGGAGGCAAAGGAATTAATGCCACAAGATAACTTCACTTTGCTTAACCCTGCCAGTGAACCAACAGCCTCAGCCAGTGTTTGATTGTTAAAAATCTCCATAACTGGAAAGTACTGTATCACTCGATGGGGAAAGGCTTTCACAGACGCAGTAGGAAAAACAACCTTCCTAGGGCAACAGTATTATTACGAGACTAAAAACAAAACTCTATGAAGAAATGCCCAGAATGACTCCTACTTACCAGATCCAAACACTTTCTCTGGATTCCTTACTCTAAGCTGCACTTGGCATCAGGTAGATGATTCAAATGCTTGAAAGGCACCCTCTGGCCTATATTGGATCTGTGGAGCATGGGCATATTGGCAACTGCCAGCAAAATGGGCAGGGACATGTCTGTTAAAAGCAATCAAGCCATCCTTCTTTCTAATTCCTCTAAAGCAAGGGAAATTCTTAGAATATCCAGTTTATAATAAAAATAAAAGAAGAACTAGAAAAAGCATAATCACAAAAGTAACAAAAATATCAAAAAAGATGTGGACACAGGAGACTAAAAAGATAATAAATGACCTCCTGAAAGAATCATGACATGCTATGGGCCAGCTACCTAGGTGCAAGACAGGTCATGAGGGTACTGCACCATAATCTATATCCTCAGCCGCATCATGAAGTTGCAGGCAGTCCTTCAAATCATAACCAATGAAATATCGAGGGCACTAGATTTATTGGCAATACAAGCAACACAAAAAGGAAATGCTATATATCAAAATAGGCTGGCTTTAAATTATCTCTTATCCTCCGAAGGAGGAATATGTAGAAAATTTAATTTAACCAACTGTTGCCTAGAAATCAATAGCCAAGAAATCAATATTAGTGGTCATAAAAATTACAGCTAGAATGCACAAGTTGGCCCAGGTTCCACTTCAGACTTGATCCAGGTAGTCCCCGGATTCCTTGTTTGGAGGATGGTTCTCAGCATTTGAAAAATTCTAAACCCTCATTAGTAGGTTCTTGCTTATTCTTTGCATCTGCCTTATCCTCCCTTGCCTTTTGTCTCTGTTTATTAGGAGTATTCAGTCAACTATGGAGGCAATGGTAGCCCAAAACACTACTGTACAGTCTGTACAGTTGATGCATTAACCAGATATCAGCCACCGCCAGAAGAAGAAAAAGCTCAGCTCCATGAAGACTTGGCAAATAATGGTGCTTTCTATTAACACCTCTGTTATAAAAAGCACCAATGGGGAGAATGGAACAGGAATTATAAGAGATTAAAGAGTGTGTAAGCAGAAACTCACTTGTGTGTAAGAAAACCCAACTTCTGTTGAGAAAGAGTAAGAGCTGGAGTCCTTTAAAAACTAACTGCCTGTTTTTCTGTGGCTAGTGATCCTTATCTCTCCTCCTTTCCCAGGGATTGTGAAGACCCTGTTTCCCAAGCTGTGAAGCTGCAAGGTCACTAGACAGATAAATTCAAGTCACAAAACAGGTTTTTCCTTGAAAAGTAAGAAATAATGTAATGCATGTCTCAATTGAATAACTGTCTTTGTTTCTTGCTTCTGTAGTATGATTCTCCCTGCACAAATCTCTCCCCACCCATGAAATGCTTAAAAGGTAACTTAACTCTTTGTTCAGGACTCATTCTTTGGATGTTAATCCACTGGACCAGTGCACCTAAATAATTAATAAATACCCTCCTGAACCCCATCGGCCTCTCTGATTTCTTAAAATTCCACTACATACAGACTTCTCTACTATTGACCCCCACATTCTTTTCTTCCACACAGGAAGTCCACATATAAAATCGTGTGTGAAACTATTCTATTTGAGGTGTATTTCTGTGCCCTAGGATCCAGATAATCCCTTACATTTTAAATTCTTGCTTTTTTGTGGCTCACAGTATGATGTTATCAAAAATTAGGCAAATATTCTGATACTTTCTTAATTTTACAAGGGGGAGAATTGTCCTTAGATAATTACATTCTGGAAAGGCCATAATGAGCAACTCTGGACCTGATTGATTGTCATTTTTGGGTCCACTGCAGGGCTGCATACTAAGGGACAGTGGTCATTCTGAGTTCATAGAAAAAACCTGACATGAGAGGGGACATTTTGCTAGACATGCCACCTGGTGCACAGAGCTGAAAAATGAGACCTGCTGGTGACGTGCTTATCAAGCTTAGGGTCTTGAGGGCTTTTTAAATTCAGTGCTTTAAAAGCTGGCCTCACATCCTGAGTTCAGAAAAACCAAAATTTTTTGTTTTCTATAGACTTTTTGGTTGAAAATCCCTTTTCCATGGACTTTTAAACTAGTTATTTACAGCACAAGCCCCATGTCTAGTAACAAAGGTGTCAGCCATCTTCAAAATGTGTTTTTATTAATACTTTATTTTTAAGCTTTATTAACTAAAGATATATTTATTTATAGTCACTTTGAGTCTCCAGGATAAATATTAGTCTTAAATTGTTATTTCTCATAAAGTCTTGGAGGTTGCTAAGTTCTACTGTTTTGCACGTAAAGAATCAAGAAACTCTTTAGTACAATATTAGAAAATACTTGTATTTACTTAGATTTTATAGTACTATTTTTATTTTTCTTTTTATTTCTTAGATATAGGTACTCAAATTTCTACAAACTGACAACATAATATGCTTACTTGAAAATATTACCAGAATAATTGAAGTTGATAATTAAAAATGAAAGATAAAAAATGTGAGAATTGCTGAAGCCTTGTGGTGGGTATGTATGATAAATGTTAGTTTATAATTCTCCCTATGTTTGCTAAGATTTTTTATTTTCATAATATCTTTTAAATATATAATTTAAACATCTTCTCACATGTTTTATCAATAAATTTAGGAGTTCAATATTGAATTTGAGTGTTGAAATTGGTTACAAATGAGGGACAAAAGAGCAGCTTTCTAATTGGCCATACACTAAAAGTACCAGCAACTGTGGACAGGGGTGCCACTAACACACTTTATTTAACATTTTTGCTGTGAGTCATTTTTGATAAGGAATATTTTAACCTTATGATGACATCATAACAAGTTTCTAATAATCAGTGACTCAGAGTGGTCTTCAATAGTGTACTATTATTTAATTTACATTTCTGGCCTGGTAAATCTAAGCAGGTAATTTATGTCTATTAATACATTTTACAATTGTAATTTTTTTCTTATAACTATTTGCCATGAAGATTTTAATGTTATAACTATATCTTTGTCTTTTCCTCTTTATTTAACATGCCTTGAGATGAACAATAAATGGGTTTGGTTTTACAGTCTGTGACTTAGTTCTCCAAAAGTCAACAGTTTCATTTGGAAACATTTTAGAGGGATATAATCTTATAACAAAACCATCACATGTTTTAAGTGTACAATTCCAAGTTCTTAAAGTGTATTTACAGACACCCATAACCACAATCTAATTTTGAAATCACCTTATCACTATGGAAAAAGAAATTAATCTCTTTTGTACTTACTGATTTCATTACCCTGGTCATAGGCAATCATTAGCCTGTTTTTATATATAAGCCTTTTATTAAAAGTTATTTTAAGTGAAATCATAAATTATCTGCCCTTTTGCATTTGGTTTATTTTACTTACTTTAGTGATTTTGAGGTTTTTTCCTGACATAGCAGGTATTATTACTTCATTTTCTTTGTTTGGCACATAGTATTTTATTGTATGGACACACCACACGTTATTTTTTCTGTTATTATTTGATGGATATTTTGGTTTTATCCCCTTTGGGCTATTACAAATACTGCTCCTTTGATCATTTACATCTGATTCTTTGTGTAGTCATAGGTTTTCATTTCTTTTGAGTACGTAACAGAGTAAAATGTCTCAGTCATATGGTGATACTATTTATAGCATTTTGAATAATTGCCAAATTGTTCTTTAAATCGGTTGTTTTTTACACTCCCACATACAATGTGTGAGGCTTTCATATTTTTGATATCTTTGGCAACCTTTTTTATTGCCTTTTACAGGTCTTCTAGTAAGTATGTCATTGAGCTTTTGATTTGCATTTCTCTAAACTAATAATGTCACATATTTTAAATTTAATGACAAATTTTGCTTCTTATCTGTAGAAATTTTTAATTCAAATTCCTTGCACATTTTTCAAGTAGTCAATTGTCTATTTATTATTGATTTATAAGACTTTGTGTATTTGAGCAAGATGGCTGAATAGACAAACCAAGGTGGAACAGCTGACACCAAGGGACCAGGATGACTGGCACACTCTTAACCGAGGGCAGGTACTGATAGTGATGGAGGAAAGACACAACATCTGAACTTAAGATTCAGAAGCTGGGAACCCTGCACAGGGCTAAAGCACAGTGGAACTGATTTCTGGCCCCCAGTGACTCTGAGAAAAACAGGTGAGTTTAAGTGGCAAGGAGCTACCTGCTTTCCTGACTGGCCTCTGGAATCCCACTGGCAGAGACCCTCTGACCATCATGGAAAATGAGTTGAAAGGAAGAGCTGCTTAGAGAAGTGACAGGGGCAGCACACCAGCCAGTGCACAGCCAAGAGGGTTTATTGTGGGAACATGTGTAGTGAAGCATGTCCAGGGATGCCCACACCAATAAGCTTAACTTGCTCCCATAAGAGACGTTAGCCCTAGGGGAAATTTTGGACAAAAAGTCTGCAGGGTGGTGGCCCATCAGATGGGGCTGTTTTGACCTGAGCTTGCGTTGGTGTGCTGGCCTCTCCTGCGACCCCAATTCGGCCCTGCATGCTTGCAGTGCAGCCTTGAGTACCCTGGGGGCCTGCATCATAGATCCTGAACTGGCAGATCATGTCTGACTAGTAGACAGCTCCAGTGGGGTGACCCCATCCAGGCATCAGCCTGCCTGCTGCCTCTCCTCACTGCAGCTTCCCCCCAAGGCCCATTGCCACCCCACACATCACTATGCTGGTGTGTGTGTGTGTGTGTGTGTGTGTGCATGGAAGGATCTTGCTTTCCCTGTCCTGTCAGTGCACATGTGCATATGCATTCTGCCCTGGCACTGCTGTTGGTAGGAGTGTACTCCAGGCCCCCTCTCCTGCTATACCACCACTGCAGACAGAATCTTGGGGGAAACAGAGGCCATCTGCCCCACAACACCAGCACCCTGCTCCTTTGTCAACACTGTCATTTGAGTACAACTAAGCACAAAAAACAGCATACTCTCCTCAGCCCTGAGCAGCCACCTTCGCCTGCATGAATACACACAAAACCACTTGACTGAGCCAACCTTATAACACAATTAAACCCTTAAGGTCATCAAGCAGAATAAAAGGAAAAATCCAAAAGTTGACAACTTCAAATATTAAAGAAATATCACCCCAGAAAGATAAGAAAGAACAAGCACAAAACCTCTGACAACTCAAAAAACCTGAGTTCCTCTTTTCCTTCAAATGGTCACAGTACCTCTCCAGTAAGGTTATAAATCAGTCCAAGATAGCTAAAATTACAGAAATCAAATTCAGAATATGAATAGAAATAAAGATCATTAAAATGCAGAAGTAACTTGAAACTCAATTCAAAAACGTTAAGAATCATAATGAAATGATACAGGAGCTGAGAGACAAAAGAGCCAGTATTAAGAGCATAACTAACCTGAGAGAGCTAAAAAAATCACACTAAATTTTTTTATAAGAAATTCACAACTATTAATAGTAGAATAGACAAAGCTAAGGAAGAATCTCAGAGTTTGAAGACTGTTTATGTGAAGTAAGACATACAGACAGAAATAAAAAAGAGTAATAAAAACCCCCAAGCCTCTGAAAAATATAAGATTATGTAAAGAGACCAAAGGTATGACCCACTGGTGTTCATGAAACAGGTGGGGAGAATGGAAGCCATTTGAAAAACATATTTTAGGATATCATTCATGAGAACTTCCCCAACCTGGGGAATGCTGGCTAGAGAGGCCAGCATTCAAATTTAGGAAATGCAGAAAACTCCAGTAAGATACTTCATAATATAATAATCACCAAAACACATAGTTATCAGATTGTTCAAGCATGAAATAAAAGAAAAAATGTCAAATGCAGCTAGAGAGGAAAGGGAGGTCAACCACAAAGGAAAGATTATCAGTGTAAAAGTACGCCTTTTAGCAGAAATCCTACAAGCCAGAAGAGACCAATACCAATATTTAACCTCCTTGAAGAAAATAAATTCCAATCAACAATCTCGTATTTGGCCAAACTAAGCTTCATAAGTAAAGGAGAAATAAAGTTCTTTTTAAACAGGCAAATGCTGAGGAAATTCATTACTACAAGACATGCCTTACAAGAGCTCCTGAAGGAAGAACTAAATATAGGTGAAAAAAACCTTTATTAGCCACTAAAAAAACACACTGAGGTATACAGACCAGTTGCGCACAAACAAGTCTGCATAATAAGCAGCTACCATTATAATGGCAGCATCAAATGCACACATATCAACACTAACTATGAATGTAAATGGGCTGAATGTTCCAATTAAAAGGCAAACAGTGGGAAACTGGATAAAGAACAAAGAACCAATGATATGCTGTCATCAAGACTCATTTCACATGCAATCAGTTTCATAGGCTGAAAATGACGGGATAAAAATCTACCAAGCAAATGGAAAACAGCAGAAAGAATGGGTTGCAACCCTAAGTTTAGACAAACAGACTTTAAAACAACAAAGATTTAAAAAGGCAAAAAGGCATTACAAAATGCTAAAGGGTTAAATTCAACAAGAATATATGTATTCATATTTAAATATATACATTTTAAATATATACACACCCAACACAGGAACACCCAAATTCATAAAGCAAGTTCTTAGAGGTCTTTAAAAAGACTTAGATTCCTACACAATTATAGTGAAAAACTTCAACAACCCATTGACAATATTAGATTATTAAGGCAGAAAATTAACAAGATATTCAAGATCTGAATGCAGCACTGGATCAAATGGATGTAACAGACACTTTCAGAACTCTCCACCAAAAACAACAACATATACGTTCTCATTGCCACATGGCACATACTCTAAAATCAACCACTTAATCGACATAAAACTGTTCTCAGAAATTATAAAAGAATTCAAATTATGACAACCACTCTCCGAGACCAGAGTACAGTAAAATTGGAGGTAAAAGTTGAGAAAACCAATACTCAATACCATATGATTACATAAAAATTAAATAACTCACTCCTGAATGACTTTTGTGTGAATAATGAAATTAAGGCATCAATCAAAAAGTTATTTGAAAGTAATGAGAACAAAGACACAACCTACCAGAATCCCTGAGATGCAACTAAATCAGTGTTGAGAAAAAAACTGATGTTGCTGAACACCCACCACAAAAAGTAACAAAGATCTCAATTTAACCACTCAATATCACAACTAAAACATCTAGAGAATGAAGAGCTATCCAACCCCAAAGCTGGAAGAAGACAGAAATAACCAAAATCAGAGATAAACTGAGATTAGGACACACACAAAGAAACTAAAAGATTAATGAATCCAGGAGTAGGTTTTGTTTTAAATGTGGACTACTAGCTAGACTAATATAGAGGAAAAGAGAGAAGATCCAAACAAAGACAATCAGAAACAACAAAGGGGATATTACCACTGGCTCCTCAGAAATAGAAATAAACATCGGAGAATATGATGAACACCTTTATGCAAAAAAACTACAACACCTAGAACAAATAGATAAATTCCTGGACATGTACACCTTTCCAAGACTGAACCAGGAAGAAATTGAATCCCTGAACAGACCAATAACATGCTCCAAAATTGAATCTGTAATAAATAGACTATCAATTTTAAAAAGCCCAGGAAAAGACGAATTCCCAGCCAAATTCTACTGGATATGCAAAGAAGAATTTGGTATCATTCCTACTGAAACTCCCAAAAATTTGAGGAGGATCATCTTCCTCACTCATCCTATGAGGCCAGCACCCTTCTGATATCAAAACCTGGAAGAAAAGCAAAAGAAAGAAAAATTTCATATCTTTGATGAATATTGATGCAAAAATTCTCCATAAAATACTGGCAAACCAAATCCAGCAGCACACCAAAAAGCCTATCCACCACAATCAAGTAGGCTTTTTCCCTGGGATGCAAGGTTGGTTCAACATATGCAAATCAATAAATGTGATTCATAATACAAACAGAACGAAAGACAAAAACCTCATGATTATTGTAATAGATGCAGAAAGAGCTTTCATTAAAATTCAAAACCACTTTATGTTAAAACTCTCCATATACTAGGTATTGAGGAAACATGCTTTGAAATAATAAAAGTCATCTATGACAAACCCACAGCCAACTTTATACTGAATGGGTGAAACTGGAAGCATTTTTCTTGGAAACTGGCACAAGACAAAGATGCCCTCTCTTACCAGCCCTGTTCAACATAGTATTGAAAATCCTGGCCAGAGCAATCAGACAAGAGAAAAAAATAAAGGCATTCAAATAAGAGGAGAGGAAGTCAAACTACCCATTTGCAGATTGTATTAGTCAGTGTTCTGTGTTTATGGATTGGAAGAATCAATATTAAAATGTCCATGCTACACAAAGCAAGCTACAGATTCAACGCAATTTCTGTAAAAATACCATTGACATTCCTCACACAAATAAATACAACAGCTCTAAAAAATCTTAAATTTATATATAATCACAAAAGACCTAGAATAGCTAAAGCTATCCTGAGCAAAAAGAATAAAACTGGAGGAATCCCATTACATAGCATACATTATTACATTACACAAAATTATACTACCGATGTGTAGTAACCAAAACAGCATAGTACTGGCATAAAAACAGACACACAGGAAAATGGAGCAGAATAGAGAACCCAGAACCAAACCATCCATCTACAGTGAACTCATTTTTTACATAGGCACCAAGAAAATATATTAAGAATAAAAACTCAGTCTCTTCAATAAACAGTGATGGTAAATCTGGATATCCATATGCAGAGGAATAAAACTAGACCTCTATCTTTTGCCATGTGCAAAAACTAAATCAAAATGGATTAAATATTTAAATGTAAAACTGCAAACTATGAAACTTCTGAAAGAAAACATTGGGGAAATTCTAAAAAACCTTGGATTAAGCAAAGATTTCTTGAGTAACACCTCACAAGCACAGGCAACCAAAGCAAAATGGAAAATTGGTATCACACCAAGTTATAAAATTTTGCATGGCACAGAAAAGAATCAACAAAGTCAGAAAACAACCCACAGAATGAAAGAAAATATTTTCAAACTACCTATCTGAAAATGGATTTGTAACCAAAACATAGAAGGCGCTCAAATAACTCTATAGAAAATAAAATCTAATAATCCTATTTTAAAAAATAGGCAAAATATGTAAACAGACATTACTCCAATAAAGACACGCAAATGGCAAATAGGTATATGAAAAGATGATCAACATCATGAATCATCAGAGAAATGCAAATCAAAATTACAATGAGCTATTACCTCACCCCAGTTAAAGTGGGTTTTAGCTAAAAGGCAATAACAAATGCTGACAAGCATGCGGAGAAAAGGGAACCCTCATATGCTGTTGGTGGGAATGTAAGTTGGTGGAACCACTATGGAGAACAGCTTGAAGGTTCATCAGAAAACTAAAAATAGAGCTTCTGTACAATCCAGCAATTTCACTGTTAGGTATATATCCAAAAGAGAGAAAAATCTGTGTATTGAAGTGATAGCTGTACTCCTGTGTTTACTGCAACACTATTCACAATAGCCAAGATTTGGAAGTAACATAGGTGTTTATCGACAGATGAATAAACAAAAAAGTGGTACATATACACAATGTAGTACTATTCAGACATAAAAATGAATGAGATTCTGTCATTTGTAAAAACATGGGTTAAACTGAAGGTCATTTTATTAAGTGAAATAAGCCAGGTATAGAAAGACAAACTTCACACGTTCTCACTTATTTGTTAAAGCTAAAAATTAAAACCAAAGAATTAATGGAGATAAAGAGTAGAATGATGGTCTCCAGAGGCTGAGAGAAGTAGTAGAAGGTTGAGGGCGGGGAGGTGGGAATGGTTAATGGGTATAAAAATATAGTTAGAAAGAATGAATCAGTTCTAGCATTTGACAGCACAAGGTGACTCTAGTTAAGAATAATTTAAGTGTACATTTTAAAATAACAGAAATTGTATAATTTGGTTATTTGAAATCCAATAGTAATACTTCATGTGATGAATACCCCATTGACTCTGATGTAATTATTACACATTGTATGACGGTATCAAAATATTCTATATACTTCATAAAGGTATACACCTACTATGCACCCAGAAAAACCAAAAATAAAAAAATTAGGATATACTTTAAGACAACAAATACTATTACTAGAGATGAAGATAGATTATAATTAGAAGGATAAATTCATGAGGAAAATAAATTAACATATATGAATGTAACAAAAGTTCACAGAAGTACATAAAGCAAAACTGATAGAAATAAAGGCAGAAATAGTTGCAACAATAGTTTCAACAATAAAAATTGCAAGCTTCACTTCCCCACTTACACTATTGGGTAGAAGAACTAGACATAAGAGAAACAAGGAAATAGAAGACATGAATAACATAAACCAAATAAAACTAGAGATATATGGAGAACTCTTCACCCCAAATCAGAATGTATATTCTTCCCAAATGCACATAGAACATTCTCTAGAATGGAGAATATGCTGCATCATAAAAAAAATCAATAAAATTGAAAGATTGAAATAATAAAATGAATGTTTTCTAATCACAAAAGAGAAAATTAGAGACCAAAAAAGCAAGAAATTTGGGAAATGCAAACATGTGTGCATTAAATGACACAATCTTAAATAATTAATGAATAAAAAATGTACAAATAGTGTCAGAGAATATTTTAACATAAATAGACATTTAGACAAAACATAATAAAATTTATGAGACTTAGTGAAAGTTGAGCTCTGAGGGAAACAGCAGAATTACTTTATAAAAAACAAAGAAATCTTAAATTAATAGCTTAACGCTTATGGAAGCATTTAAATAAAAATGAACTACCCAGTTCACCTGGAGCAAACACTATCAGTGGGGTAAAAAGGTAGTCACGCTGACAATCGTAGGAGGAAATACTTGGAAACAAGACACTGAGAATTAGGATAGTGATAGTACTCCTTGGAATCTAGAAAAAAATGGGGATGCTCTAGGCTAGACAGATTCTCAGGAAAAACGCTAAAACACTAAGCTCCCACCTGTTTGTCTTTTAATCTCTGCATGAACAGAAAGTATAGGCACAAGCAGAGTTAGGACTTTATGGCACACATAGAGATTCTAGATGAAAGGATCAGAAGATTCATATTTTGAGAGGGCTAAAATATCTACAGTCTTGCTGTCCTATTAAAGTTTAGTGAAACTATATTGCAGATTCGCATTGCTCACTTCTTCCAGTAATCCAGTGATCTAGTAAAGCTTGATTTTGCCATTTGAATCCTCTGATAAATGAAGTCAGCCTCTAACTTGAGGTACTTTTTGGGATGTTGGAGTTATGGTCACCATGACGTTACTATTGGTTACACTAATTTGTAAGTCAACAATGAGCTTGCTACAGAGCTGTGAAACTGAATTCTGACCCCTGAGGGAGGTCGTTAGCTTGATCTTTCTGTTTTTAGATGGGTCGATTTGAACTCTATGAAAAAGACCACAGGAGGCCACTTGGTAAATAGAAATAACATATTCTAGAAGGAAATTAGACTAAAATAGAAACGGCACTAAAGTAAAAATTAAAATTCATATTCGGTAGAAATTTTATGCCACCCTCTACTATCTCAAGCAAACTTTCTGACTCTGTGGGACTCCCCAATTTACTGAATATTTTCTAAATATCTGTTCCTGGTTCACTAATGGGCCAGGGAAGATGACACCTCATGGTGTTCACTGGGCTGGTGTGGGTGTTTGATCTCATTGTCAGCCAATGAGGAACCTGAATCTGGGGTGATTACTTCACTCAATTGTCAGAACTGAGAGTTCCGGGTTATTGCCACATTCTACGTGTTTAGGCTTCCATATTGAAAATGATTAACTGTCTAATTAAGAACATCTTCTTTGGGGCTGCAAACTGAAATTTATCTTAGCTGCTGATCTAATTGTCAGGCCATTAATTTAGAAGTTCACAATTAGGGTTATGTCTCCAAAGAGATGAACAACAATCAAGCCTAAATCCCTGTCTACTGCAGAGGTCATCACTGCATGCCAGGTTGGTGGTTCTTGGAGAAAGTTGATCTACGTGTCCCATGTATGGGGAAGTCCCAGACCATTTCTGGCAGAATGACTGTCTTAGACTTTTGACCCGTTACTTGAAGTATTTGTCACTACTGTTGACACTTTCAGCATAAAGATCAGCTGACTCCAGCCACATTATGTGTTACTTGAAGCTAATCCATGTCATCTTTTAGGTATTTGAGACCGCTTAAATTCTCTCTTTTTTTTTTTTTTTTTTTGCTTTTATCACCATATCTATTAAAATGAGCCAATAGTCTCATTTTAACTTATTTTCCTCATCAGGGTCCACAGCTTTTGGTTAGGTAATGTGTTGATTAAATGGTTTATTAGTCACCTTCTTTGGTCCCAGAAGAGATTATCTCCTGTTGACTGTCTCTAAGATATAGATAACATTGTTATTGAGTAAAAGGAGCTCACTTCTTGAAGTGCTAGAAGCCAATACTATGACATCAGGTTTTTAAGAGAAAGCAATTTTATACTGAAACGTTACTCTCAAGCTCATTGCCTCCTCATGGATGTCATGGGCAAACTGAAGGGGAGTTGTGATGAAACAGGCAGTGAAAATTCAGACGGTGACCTCAGCAAGGTGATTCTGCCAAAACACCATTTGGCCATAATGATTCCACCAATTTAAGCCAGTTTGTTTATTTCATAAGTAGAGGGAGTTTCAGTGTTTTGGCAAGTTGTGTTTTTGTTTTTTTTTTCTTTTCTGTTATTCTGCAAGCTCAAGATTTTCTGTTAGATACTGGCTTTCTTTTAACTCTGCAGAAGTGTTGCAAAATGATTGGGGCTATAGGAATCTATTTTCCAAATCTGAGTTTCCACACTGACATTCCTGGGCAAGATGTGATTTCTCCTAACTGCAACCTCCAGGCAGCCTGGTTTGTATGATTTCTGAGTAGCAGCCCAGTCAAAAAAGGGGTTATGGAACTCCAATTTAGTTCTGATTATGGTGTATATAAACATTCTTGTCTCTATTACAACTGGATCTACTACATAAAATGTCTACAGCAAAATAGGAGGGGATCAGATAAAGGTACAATTATAAGTATTGGAATGGATCACATTAATTCTGAGGATATAGAAGGGGAGCAACAACCTGAAACCAGGGGAGTGAACGACTTAGATCTCAGGAGCTATGGGAAATGGATAGGCATGAATAACCTCTTTTCCTTCTGAATTGCCCCTGGCACACTCCAGAAAAGTCTGGCAATAATTTTGGGATAGGATGAGAGTAGGGTTAGTTAGACCAGGTGGAAGTGCAAAGACTAAGTTTATTTTTTCCATTCCATCCCCCATATCACCCTTAAGAATCCTTTGGGCTGGGCACAGCAGCTCACACCCAGCACTTTAGGTGACCAAGGAGGGTGGATAACGAGGTCAGGAAATCGAGACCATCTGGCCAACATGGTGGAACCCAGTCTGTACTAAAAATATAAAAATTACCCAGGCAAGGTGGCACATGCCTGTAGTCCCAGCTATTTGGGAGGCTGAGGCAGGAGAATTGCTTCAACCTGAGAGACCAAGGTTGCTGTGAGCTGAGATGATGCCACTGCACTCCATCTTGGATGACAGAGGAAGACTCCATCTCAAAAAAAAAAAAATCCTTTGTAATTATCCCATTTCTCTGCAATGTAGTAATGAAATTCTAGTGAGGAGCATGCGTTCTCAGTGCCCAGTTGTCTGAGGCCACAGTTGAGTTGCTTCAGGGAAAAAACAAACAAACAAAAAAAAACCAAAACGAAAACACAAAAGCAAAAGCAAAAACAAAAACAAAAAACCCTATTGCTTTTGTTTTTTTCTAAAAAGATTAAATGCCCCATGGTTTAAAATAAGCTGGCTCTACAAAACATTGAATTCATCTTTTATTTTCTCTGTGAGCAGAGGCTCCTCCTTCTGTTTTTCTACCATCTAGAGATGAATCTATATTTGTCAATATTGACATAAATTGGAGACATAAATCATGTAAGAACCCTAGACAAGCCTTCAAAATAATCTGAGTCTTGCTCGTTTCTCTTCTCAATTATGTTGTCAGAGAGAGCTACCTGAGATGAAGTCTCTCAGGAATAGTTAGAACATTGCACTTCTAGAGAAGATGGTGAGACAGGGCAAGACTCACAGTGAGAATAAAAGCTTCTTCTCAATCTTTCAGTGTATCTGTTTCTGGTAGATGAATCCAGAAAAGATTCCAGAGCCAGGGAAGAGCTATTTGAGAGGGTAGAATCACTGTAGATCAGAGTACTAGGTCATATGTTTATTAGTCACCTTCTTTGGTCATATTCTCAGTGCTAAGCCTCTGATAGGGCTTCAGAGCAATGTATGCCTGTGAAAATCTCTAATTCCATTTGAAAGATGAAGTTCTGGCTCTGGGAGAAGTCTCCTATCTGACAGAACATCATGCTTCTGTGGGCATGAGATTCTGTGCCCTTCCTCAGCAGACACCACTGACTCAATAATTGTTTAAGAATCATGCATAAATAGGCCTTCCTTATCATGAATCTCTTAAATAACAAAACAGAGAAAACCCATTTATCCACGTTCAAATTGAATAAGAGTGTAAGAAACTTCACAGAAATTGTTATAGAAGGAAACTCTTGGGCTCTGTCCATCTCCAGAAATCTCAAAATTCTGGCACAATCTGTTACAATTAACCTTATCAGAGCTTGAATTTTTTTTTTGCTATATATATTTACCTTTAATTGGACCTTAATTTTGTTATATGTTTTAATTTAATTTTATTTTTTTGATGGAGTCTTGCTGTGTCTCCGAGGCTGTAGTGCACTGGTGTGATCTCAGCTCACTGAAAGCTCCACCTCCTGGGTTCACACCTTTTTCCTGCCTCAGCTTCCCTAGTAGCGGGGACTACAGGCGCCCGCCACCACACCCAGCAATGTTTTTGGACTTTTAGTAGAGACGGGGTTTCACCGTATTAGCCAGGATGGTCTCGATCTCCTGACCTTGTGATCCGCCTGCCTTGACATCCCAAAGTGCTTGGATTACAGGCTTGAGCCATCATGCCCGGCCAAGGATAAACCATTGTTTAACCTTTGTGATAGAAACATCAAATTCCCATATCCCAAGCATTAATAATACTGTCCACTGCAATTGTTATTGCTTATTAACTTTTTGCTATGGTCTGGATATTTGTGTTCCTCACTCTCCACATTCATATTTAAAAACTTAATCCACACGTGGATTCAGTGTGATACTATTAGTTATTGGAACTTTGAGAAAGTTATTAAGTCAGGAGGGCTGCATGTTAACGAGAAAATAATAGTGCCCGTGTGACGGAGGTTGAAAGGAATATTCATGCCCCTTCTGTCGTGTGAAGACATAGCTAGAAGGTGCTACTTGTGAGGAACAGAACCTCACAAGAAAGAGCCTCAGAAAGTTGTTATACAGCAGAACATCTTTCTCTCTTGAGAGATTCTGGCCAACAGTGCTGCATGGTGGACTGTCTTTAGAATGTGAGTTTTTGGTTACCAGAATACTTAGTACTGTTAGGACCTTTCACCAAAGAAATGAGGTCACTTCTTGAAGGTATTATTCTTCTTTCAATAAGACCTATCTTCCTTCAATAAGACCTACTCAAAGGCTTTTCTGCACTGCTGACTGCTCACCATTCTCTCCCAAGTCATCTGATTACTTGTGCACAATTATGCAAATACAGCACCTCCTGCACCAGTGCCGGAGGAAATGGAATGCAGCCAGAGCCACAAGTTTGAGGATACAAGCTGAGTTAAAGTCTTTATGTTTAATGTATTAATTATGTGATGCCAAGTATGTCATTGTGCCTCTCAGGGGCTCCATAGTCTCACAGCCTGCACAGTGGGGATTATGGTGGCATCCAGCTGCAAGGGATCTCATGAGATATGTATAAAATGATACGCATGACTGTTGGGTTTGATATTAAACACAGCTACTGCATAAACTTAGAGAAAGAAACTACAAGGGATGGGACATTGCTTGAATATCTCTCAAACATGCCTGGGTTTTATAACTTGAATCTTGAGAAAGTCATGTCCCCTCTTGAATTTATTTTTCAAACTCCACCATGAAAACATTGAAATTGAATAAAATTTAGATGTTGTTATTCTTTGGCCAGAACAACAACAATAACAACAACACACATTGTAGTACCTTCTCGTTATATTTAGAATCAGGCCCATTTGTCTCACCTTGGCATACGTAGTGCACAGCCTTCATGATGGCTCATAATAATTTTTATTTCCAACTATACACACCCAAATGTAAACAGTAAGTGGTTAGTGACTCACTTCATGGCAGTAGAATACATTGGAAAATAGGGAATGTCACTGCCAATATTTGATTATGAAAAGATTGTCACTTGCTTCTTACTTTCTCTCTCTTGTGATATTGTTTACTTCCTTTTTTCCTGTCTTTCTCTCTGTCTGTCGCATACTTTGCTCTGGAGAAGCGAGCTTCAGTGTTTTAAGCTTTCATTTTTACAGGCTTGTGTGACAGAGAATAGAGAGAGTGCCCTGACCAAAGACAGAAAGAAACTAAGAACTGAGTCAAAACAATAATGCACAACTAACCAGATTGAGCTCAGAAGTGCATCCTTCCCAGTCAAGCTTCAGTTGAGACACAGCTTCAGTCTCATGAGTGAGAGGTGACAGCATGCTGGCAGCCCTCACAGCCCTCGCTCACTCTTGGTGCCTCCTCAGCCTTGGTGCCCACTCTGGCCGCGCTTGAGGAGCCCTTCAGCTCACCGCTGCACTGTGGGAGCCCCTTTCTCAGCAGGCCAATGCCGGAGCCGGCTCCCTTATCTTGCGGGGAGCGGGCAGGAACCGCGGCTGCCCGCGGTGCTTCCGGGCCAGCGCGAGTTCCGGGTGGGCGTGGGCTTGGCGGCCCCGCACTTGGAGCGGCCAGCTGGCCCCGCCAGCCCCAGGCAGTGAGGGGCTTAGCACCTGGGCCAGCAGCTGCTGTGCTCGACTTCTCGCCAGGCCTTAGCTGCCTCCCCACGGGGCAGGGCTCGGGAACTGCAGCCCACCTTGCCTGAGCCTCTCCCCCACTCCTGCCAAGGGCTCCTGTGCGGCCCGAGCCTCCCCAACGAGCTCCACCCCCTGTTCCATGGCACCCAGTCCCATCGACAACCCAAGGGCTGAGGAGTTCGGGAGCACAGCGTGTGACTGGCAGGCAGGCAGCTCCACCTGCGGCCCTGGTGCGGGATCCACTGGGTGAAGCCAGCTGGGCTCCTGAGTCTGGTGGGGACTTGGAGAAACTTTATGTCTAGATAAGGGATTGTAAATACACCAATCGACACTTTGTATCTAGCTCAAGGTTTATAAACACACAAATGAGCACCCCGTGTCTAGCTCAGGGTTTGTAAATACACCAATCAACACTCTGTATCTAGCTAATCTAGTAGAGACGTGGTGAACTTTGTGTCTAGCTCAAGGATTGTAAATGCATCAATCAGCACCCTGTGAAAAGGGACCAATCAGCTCTCTGTAAAACAGACCAATTGGCTCCCTGTAAAATGGACCAATCAGCAGGATGTGGGTGGGGCCAGATAAGAGAATAAAAGCAGCTGCCCGAGCCAGCAGTGGCAACCCTCTCGGGTCCCCATCCACACTGTGGAAGCTTTGTTCTTTCGCTCTTTGCAATAAATCCTGCTGCTGCTCACTCTTTGCGTCCACACTGCCTTTATGAGCTGTAACACTCACCACAAAGGTCTGCAGCTTCACTCCTGAGCCAGAAAGACCACGAACCCACCAGAAGAAAGAAACTCCAAACACATGCTGACATTAGAAGGGAAAAACTCCAGGCACGCTGCCTTTAAGAACTGTAACACTCACCGTGAGGGTCCGCGGCTTCATTCTTGAAGTCAGTGAGACCAAGAACCGACCAATTCCGGACACATGAGGACATTGTGGTAGACCCATTCAACTAAGCTGTGTCAGTATTTGTAGCCAACAGAAAATAAGACATAATGCATATTTGGAATTTTAAGCCACTACACATTGAGCTAATGAGTAGAATTATTTTTTCTAATTTTATTTACTGATTGCCCTTAGTTACTGTATAAAAGTGCAATTTAATATTGTGCATTTATCTTGTATCTTGTGACCTGCTGAACTCATTTATTAGTTCCAGTTGATTTTTGTAAACTCTTTAAAAATTCTTGAATATAAGTTGATGCCATTTACAATAAAAGTTTATTTTATAAATTTAGAAGTTTTATTTGTTTTTATTATATAATTTCTCTGCCTAACACCTTTAGTTCAATTTAGTAGAGTAGCGAAAGTAGCCATGCTTATCTGTTTCCCACAACTGTGAGGCAAAGAGCCTAGTCTTTCATCAGCAAGTGTAATATTAGTGGGAAATTTTTATGAATCCTTTTTAGTAGTTCCAGTAAGTTTTTCCTTCCTAGTATGTTAAGGATTTTATAATGAATCAGTGTTGTTTGTATCACAAGCTTTTCTGTGTCTATTAAAAGGATCATTTTATGTTCTTCACTTTATCAATGTTGTGTATTAAATTATTGGTTTTTAGATATTAAGCCACTTCATTTGTAAAAAGATTGTACTTGGCCATGGTGTATAATTACTTTTACGTGTTTCTGTATTTAACTTATTAGTACTTTTTGAGAATTATGTGTCTTTATTTATCAGCCGTATGTACCCATATTAATCCTAACACATGATGGGTTTGTCTGGCTTTGGTATAGTAATATTGGCCTCATAAAGTAGTTAGGGGTTGTTTATCTCTTATCTATGTATGGTGTGTATTTGTAAAGGATTGGTATTTTTATGAAATATTTTGTATAATTTAACAGTTAAAGTATTTGACTCTGATTTTTCTTTGTGGTAAGATTTTTAAAATAATTTAATCTTTCATTATAGGTCTCATATCTCCCACTTCTTGAGCTTCATTTGTTAAATTGGGCCTATCAAGTTATTTACTTCTAATTTGTAACAATCCATGTTTCCAGATATAGGCAGCTGGTATGCCTGTTATGTGGGATAATGTAGCTTTGTGAAAGTTTTACGTATTATGTGGGATAATGTAGCTTTGTTAAAATCAATAAATAGCCAAGTTTTTACTCAGCTTAAGGATTGAGACTATAATTTTTATACTTCATACTTGCATGTATTGCCTGAGTCAAAAAAGCTATTACATCTAAAAGAAACCAGTGAAACATATCATTTGACATGAAGTTTTATCAAAATGACACATTAGCCTAACCCCTTTTTCACAAATATTTAGAAAAGAAAAGAATAAATTTAAATAAGATTACAAAATAATTTAGTCAATAAAGAATATTATAAGGAATAAAAATTTAATGAATCAGGGTTATTAGTACTTAGTAGCCCCTACAATGTTTTAGAAATTATTCTAAGTCATTTACCCACATATACTTAATAGCTGAGTCTAAAACATATAATACAGAAATTTGTTAATAATGACAAATTGAAATATTTACAATTATATTAAATGACATTAAGACCATCAGAAATCAAATGTTTAACATACAGTAACTAAATAAACACAAGTAATGATAACTTTATTAGAAAGTATGACTACTAGCAAGAGAGAAAAATTAATAAAATTTTTCAGCAGTGAACCAAAGATACACACTGTATGACAGAGGGGGAAAATAAATGGCAAGGGTTTAGGCCTAACAATATCATTCATTTTATGAGAGCAGAAATTCAACAGCTCATATCTTTTAGGACACTAAAATGACAGTAGAAATTCTAAATTGTACTCAACAAGTAATATTTAGCCATGCACAAATTTTGTTTCATTAAATTAATTTATAAAATAAATATAAGATTTCATGAATTATTTTTGTGAGGTCAAGGACATACTAAAAGGAAGCACAGAGTTCTGTTCTCTGTAGTTAAGTATATATTTTCATAAAGGCACATAAAAGAAAATTTTAAGTATCAAAAGAACTACCCCTTACAAGTGACTATTACTACATATTTGAGAGAGATGTTTTGAATGAAGAAACGGAATATCTCATAAGATGTGGTTGTATGCTGCCCAATGCCTATGAAATATTCTACTCATGTGTACACTGCATATTTGTGCTTTCAGAAGAAAAGGCTACATATTTTTAAATATTTTAGTGTAGACAAGTAAAAGTTCTCAAGAAGCTACAAGAACTATGAAAATAATGAATACAGTTTAAAAATATAGAAGCACTTGATGAAAGCTAAAGTAAATCAAGAGAATAAGCCAGAGAAGTAATCAAACTGAAAAAAAGTGGTCCCTTCAGATACTGATAGATCACAAGGATGTCAAGTCTGTATGCTGTCCACCTTCCTCCAAGGGAAAATGGAATAAGCACAGAAATAACATGACTACAGACATCTCAAATGTGATATTTCCCAAATATTGGAACCAAGTTAAAAACTAAAGAACACAAGTAAATAAAAAGACATTTCTGAAGAAAAACTAGGCCACCATTTTCCATATTCAAATATCATATTTGAATCACAGCTCGGTAGAATGTAAAGAATAAAAAAATTAGGACAAGGTATAGGTGAAACACTAAATTAAACAGAGATAAAAAATTACCTGAGTATTGAATAGAATGAATATAACCAAATATAGTAAAGAGAGATGACATATCATAAGATATAGTTTTAACAAGATAAAGGCTGGGATGAGACGCTAAACATCTTAATTATTTTATTAGAACAAAAAGTATGAATGAGGCAGAGCAAATAAGGCCAGCCAGATCCAAGATTTGGGAAAAGAAAATCTTTCCCTCCATGGAAGCAGCCTCAAGTGTACATTGCAGAGGGCCCAGATCAGAGAGGAATGAGAAGTGGTTGCCATTCTTGCAATCAGTGTTATCCGTTTTCTTGCAGCCCAGGTTTATATAACTGTTCTAAGTCCAGTAAATTGTCTATAGCTGCACATCTATTAAGAGGCTGAGACAGCAGTCAGGACCAACTTTGCTAAATGTCCATAAACTACTCTACCTCATGGAAATTCTCTGGATCTTGGAGACTCTGGAGAGTGACGCTTCTGCAAATAGAGGCATAATTTATTTGAGATTTTTATCCATCTGTTATTATCCTTTACTGTTAGGAATAATCTTCTCTGAAAAATGCTTTTGACCCACCTTGGAAGGTCTTTTAATAGTTTGGGAAAGTGGGGCATGGCAAGGTGGCTCATGCCTGTAATCCCAGCACTTTGGGAGGCTGAGATGGGTGAATCATGAGGTCAGGAGATCCAGACCATCCTGGATAATACGGTGAAACCCTGTCTCTACTAAAAATACAAAAAAGTAGTCGGGCGTGGTGGCAGGTGCCTGTAGTCCCAGCTACTTGGGAGGCTGAGGCAGGAGAATGGCATGAACACGGGAGGTGGAGCTTGCAGTGAGCCGAGATAGCTCCACTGCACTCCAGCCTGAGAGACAGAGCAAGACTCCGTCTCAAAACAAAAAAAAAAAAAATTGGGAAAATGGCTGAGGGCTGAGGTTAGAAATCCAAGGTAAAACATTATGTTATATATTTTACATCATAGAAGAAATTTGAGAACACATAGAATACAATCCGCTATTCATAATTTTTTTTGAGCATTTTCAGGCTATGTTTTTGACATAGACTAAGTTGAATTACTGTGCCAGAGACAATCTCGTGTCTAAAAGCAAGTGACATAAAAATAGATCTGCAAAGATACATTTTCTCCCGCTTTAATTTAAGTAAACAGCTGAGTACATCTTCAAGTTGTACTTTGAGTTCAGTAAGATAAATCTGTTTTTTAAGACTCCAAATCTAGCACTAACAATGGGTCAAATCCCTGCAACAGACATGAAAATCACAAACAGCTAATGCGTTCCTCATCCTGAAATTCTCGCTGCCAGCACAGCAGTCTGAAGTTGACCTGGGCCAATTGAGGTCAGTTGGAGGGAGTGGAGTCCACCATTACTGAGGCTTTAGTAGACAGTTTTCCCCTGACGGTGCCAAGGAGGCTGGAAGGTCCGGGTTGGGTGCAGCAAAGTGGCTGTGGCAGACTGCTTCTTTAGAGTCCTCCTCATTGGGCAGGTCATATTTGAAGGAAAGGTAACAGCCCTAGTCAGAGGCTTACACAGAAAACCTCTATCTCCCTGGGACAGAGCACATGGGGGAAGGGGAGGCTGTGGGTGCAGCTTCAGTGGATTTCATCATTCCTGCCTGCTGGCTCTGAAGAGAGCAGCTGATTTTGACTAGAGGGATTCTGCCAGCACAGTGCACCAGCTCTGCTAAGAGACAGACTGTCTCCTCAAGTGGGTTCCCCGTGACTCCTGACTGGGAGAAACCTCCTAACAGGGGTTGACAGACACCTCATACAAAAGGGCTCCAGTTGGCATTGGGCGGGTATCCTCCTGGGATGAAGTTTCCAGAAGAAGGAGAAGGCAGCAATCTTTGCTGTTCTGCAGCCTTTACTGGTGACACCCAGGTGAACAGGGTCTGGATTGGAACTCCAGCAAACTGCACTGGACCTGCAGAAGAACCTTGCTGTTAGAAGAAAAACTAACAAGCAGAAAGCAACAACATCAACATCAACAGAAAGGACCCACCCAAAAAAAACCCCATCCAAATGTCATCAGCCCCAAAGATTGAAAGTAGATAAATCCATGAAGATGAGGAAAAAACAGCACAAAAATGCCAAAAATTCCAGAAACAAGAATGCCTTTTCTCCTCCAAATGATCACAACACCTCTCCAGTAATGACACAAAACTGGATGGAGAATGAGATTGAAGAATTGACAGAAGTAGTCTTCAGAAGGTGGGTAATAATAAACTCCTCTGAGCTAAAGAAGTATGTTCTAACACAATGCAAAGAAGCTAAGTATCTTGATAAAAGGTTATGGGAACTGCTAACTAGAATAACCAGCTTAGAGAGAAACATAAATGGCCTGATGGAGCTAAACAATGCCTTTAAGTTATATGGGACTATGTGAAAAGACCAAACCTACGATTGATTGGTATACCTCAAAGTGACGGGAAGAATGGATCCAAGCTAGAAAACAAACTTTAGGATATTATCCAGGAGAACTTCCTCAACCTAGCAAGACAGGCCAACATTCAAATTCAGGAAATACAGAGAACATCACTAAGATACTCCTCGAGAAGAGCAACTCCAAGACACATAATCGCCAGACTCTCCAAGGTTGAAATGAAGGAAATAATGTTAAGGGCAGACAGAGAGAGAAGTCAGGTTACCTACAAATGGAGGCCCATCAGACTAACAGCAGATCTCTTTGCAGAAACTCTAGAAGCCAGAAGAGAGTGGGGGCCAATATTCAACATTCTTAAATAAAATAATTTTCAACTCAGAATTTCATATCCAGCCAAACTAATCTTCAAAAGCAAAGGGGAAATAAAGTCCTTCACAGACAAGCAAATGCTGAGGGATTATGTCACCACCAGGCATGCCTTACAAAATCTCCTGAAGGAAACACTAAATATGGAAAGGAAAATATGGTTCACCACTGCAAAACCACACCAAAATATAAAGACCAATCGATACTATGAAAAAACTGCATCAACGAATGTGCAAAATAACCAGCTAGCATCATGATAACAGGATCAAATTCACACATAACAATATTAACCATAAATATAAGTGGGCTAAATACCTCAATTAAGAGACAGAGCCTGGCAAATTGGTTAAACAGTCAAGAATCTTTGGTGTGCTATATTCAGGAGACACATCTCACATGCAAAGACACACATAGGCTTAAAATAAAGGGAAGGAGAAATGGCAAATGGAAAGCAAAAAAAGCAACAACAACAACAAAAAAAGCAAGGTTTCAATCCTAGTTTCTTGTAAAACAGACTTTAAACCAAGATGAAAAAAGACAAAGAAGGGCACTACATAAAGGTAAAGGGATCAATGCAACAAGAAGAGCTAACTATCCTATATATATACCTACCCAACAGAGGAGCACTGAGATTCATAAAACAAGTTCTTACAGACCTATAAAGAGACGTAGACTCCCACACAATAACACTGGGAAGTTTTAACACCCCACTGCCAATATTAGACAGATCAATGAGACAGAAAATTAACAAGGATATTCAGGATTTGAAATCAGCTCTGGACTAAGCGGACCTAATAGACAACTACAGAACTCTCCATGCCAGAAGAACAGAATATACATTCTTCTCCATGCCACATAGCACATATTCTAAAATTGACCACATAATTGGAAGCAAAACACTCCTCAACAAATGGAAAAAATGGCAACCATAACAAACTGTCTCTCAGACCACAGTGCAATCAAATCAGAACTCAGGATTAAGAAACTCACTCAAAACCACATAAATACATGGAAATTGAACAACCTGCTCCTGAACGACTACTGAGTAAATGACAAAATTAAGAGAGAAATTAAGTTTTTTTTGAAACAAATGAGAACAAAGAGACAATGTACCAGAATCTCTTGGACACAGCTAAAGCAGTTTTAAGAGGGGATATGCTAGCACTAAATGCCCACAACAGAAAGCTGGAATGATCTGAAATCGACACCCTAACATCACAATTAAAACAACTAGAGAATCAAGAGGAAACAAATTCAAAAACTAGCTGAAGGAAAGAAACAACTAAGATCAGAGCAGAACTGAAGGAGATAGAGACAAGAAAAACTGTTCAAAATCAATGACTCCACTAGCTGGTTTTTTGAAAAGATTAACAAAAGAGACGGACCACTAGCTAGATTAATAAAGAAGAAAAGAAAGAAGAAACAAATAGACACATTAAAAAATGATAAACAGGATATCACCACTGATTCCACAGAAATAAAAACTACCATGAGAGAATACTATAGACATCTCCACACAAATCAACTAGAAAATATAGAAGAAATGGATAAATTTCTGGACACATACACTTTCCCAAGACTAAGCCAGGAAGAAGTTGAATCCCTGAATAGACCAATAAAAAGTTCTGAAATTGAGGCAGTAATTAATAGCCTACCAATAAAAAAACGCTCAGAACCAGATGGATTCACAGCCGAATTTTACCAGAAGCATAAAGAGCAGCTGGTAACATTTCTTCTTAAACTATTCTAAACAATTGAAAAGGAGGGACTCCTCCCTAATTCATTTTATGAGGTCACCATCATAATGATACCAAAACCTCGCAAAGACACAACCGCAACAAAAATTTCAGGCCAATATCCCTCATGAACATCGATGTAAAAATCCTCAATAAAATACTGGCAAACTGAAACCAGCAGCACATCGAAAATGTTATCCACCATGATCACGTCAGCTTCATCCCTGGGATTCAAGGCTGGTTCAACGTATGCAAATTAATAAATGTAATCCATCACATAAACAGAACCAATGACAGAAACCACAGGATTTTCTCAATAGATGCACAAAAGGCCTTAGATTAAATTTAATATCCCTTCATGTTAAAAGCTCTAAATAAACTACGTATTGACGGAAAAAGTCTCGAAATAATCAGAGCTGTTTATGACAAACCCCTAGCCAATATCATACTTAATAGGCAAGTGCCGGAAGCATTCCCTTTGAAAACCAGCACAAGACAAGGATGTCCTCCCTCAGCACTCCTATTCAAGATAGTATTGGAAGTTCTGGCCAGGGTAATCAGGCAAGTGAAAGAAATAAAGGGTATGCAAATAGGAAGAGAGGAAGTCATATTGGTACCAAAACAGATATATAGACAGAGGGAACAGAACAGAGACCTCAGATTGCAGGGATATGGAGGAAGCTGGAAGCCATCATTCTCAGCAAACTAACAGGAACAGAAAACCAAACACCACATGTTCTCACTCATAAGTGAAATTTGAACAATGAAAACACATGGACACAGGGAGGGGAACATCACACATCAGGGCTTGTCAGGGGGCAAAGTGAAGGAGAGCACTAGGACAAATATCTAATATATGTGGGGCTTAAAACCTAGCTGACAGTTTGATAGATGCAGCAAACCACCATGGCAAATATAAAACTATGTAACAAGTCTGCACATTCTGCACATGTATCCCAGAACTTAAAGTATAAATAAATAAATAAATCTCCAGCAAGGAAGGAAACCAGAGATCAGGTTGGAGTCTTGCTATTCACATCTGAGTATACAGACTCACTCCCCAACTCTCTTATTTTTATTCTGCCAGCTCTGACCTGAATATGAACATAACAAACACACAAGAGTTCCAACACCTGACAATCGGCTTCTGCCCAAGAAGTGTGCCCTCTCTTTTGTCCATCCTGCAACTCATGGTACAAAGAAGTGGTGTGGGGCTGCCCAGATGAGATGATGAGAGAGGCCTGGCCTCGATGGACATGTCCTGGGCTGCTCTGTGTTATCTGTAGGTGCACTTGGCCAATGGCCAGGGGTATCAGGAATGAGGGCTGAGTTGATATCTGTGTTATCAGAGAAGGCTTTTACATTGAGGCTTTGTAAGGCTAGAACTCAGAAATATCAAGGCACAATGAAAGGACATCTCACTCTCTTGAGCATCTCTCACCAACAGAGGTGGATACAGAGCTGTCTCAAGAATGTGGGTTCCTGGTTTCTTAACTGCTGTGGGGTTCTGTCACCAGGAAAGTGTGTTAAACTCTTCAAGGTTCCATCTACTGGGCCCCTTATTTCTATAAGACCTACCCAAAGGCCCCACTATGCTATTGATTGCTCAGTCTCCTCTTCCATGTCAACTCTTTATTTGTACACAATTATGCAAACACAACTTCCCCTTAATTCCCTGGAAAGACCTAAATGCATCCTGGGTTCCAGGATATAAGAGACAGCTGGAAAATAACCTTGTTTTTCTTACCATCTCTGGGACCTAATAAAAGTCACTGTGTATTTGAGGCTTCCCCAGCCTCCTAGCGTGCACAGTGGGGATAATGTTATCTACTTCCTAGGGAATGTATCAGATGTATATAAGATAAAATGTAAAAATCGTGGTGTAGTTTCACATGTAAATAATGCACACACTTAGAGATGGAAGCATTAGGAGAATAGGTGGGAGGTAGCATGGGCCACAACTCAGGTAGGCCTGGGGTCCAGCAGTGTAATCTTGGGAAAGTCACTTCCCCACTGGGCTTCAGTTTCATTCTGCTGCAGTACGAGGTTGAAATTAAATGTAGATATCATCCTCTGGCACTGATGTGGTTTAGCTGTGTGTCCCCACCCAAACCTCATTTTGTATTATAACCTCCAGGTGTTAAGGGAGAAACCTGAGGGGAGTTGATTGGATTATGGGGACGGGTTTTTCTTATGCTGTTCTTGTGATAGTGAGTGAGTTCTCAAGAGATCTGATGGTTTCATAAGCTTCTGGTGTATCCCCTGCTCTCACTCACTTCACTTGTTGGCCACCATAATTGGAAGGTTTCTGAGCCTCCCCCACCCAATCTTGTGGAACTGTGAGTCAATTAAACCTCTTTTCTTTATAAATTACCCAGTCCCAGGTATTCCATCATTGCGGTATAAAAATGGACTAATACAACTATTAAACTTTCTAGTGACTTCTTATTATATATAGAATTATATCCATGTGCCTTATCTCACCTAAGTTGGGGAAAGCCTTCACAAAGTCTCCCAGCACTAGGTGGTTAGTGACTCAGTTTGTTATTGAACAAAATGACCTACTGCTCGATGCCAGTAGTATGGCACTTGGGTTTTGAGAAAAATGGCATCTTGTTGTAGGTTGGCCAACAGGAGACAGGAGTCCAGCTGAAATCAGTTTCCTTATATAGGCTTTAAGGTGTTGATTAAAAAATGCTTAAGAAGTGGGCTCTGGATTAGGAGGGGATTGCTGGAAGGAAAGTAGTAATATGGAAAGTCATGAGACATGCACAGTCATCTCCTCTTGTTTCCTCACAGGTCACATGAATATTCAGGGAGTGTTAATATGAAACATGCAACGGAAATTTGGGCTCTAACATCAGCAAACTCATTCTCCATGGACTTCAGTTGGCCATATTGCTTCCAACATATTTCAGCCAATTTTTTAAAATCTTATAAGCAGAGGAGATTTAAGTGTTTCAACAAGCTGTTTCTTATCTTTCATTCTGAATATCCAATTTTTAAGTCTTTTTTTTTTAACAGTTTGAAGGCACAAATTCAGCTTCTGTCAAATGGAATACAGAATAGTGTATGACTTTTGTATTAGTTCAGGCTGCTATACCAAAGAACCATGAACTAGACAGCTTATAGACAACAGGATTTAATTTCTCACACTCCTAGAGGTTGGAAATTTGAGATCAGGGTATCAGCATGGTTGAGCTCTGGTGATGACTCTTCTGAATTTCAGACTGCACACATCAAATTTTATTCTCATTTGGTAGAAGGAGACAGACATCCCTCTGGGGTTTCCTGTGTAAAGCCAGTAATCTCAATCATGATGGCCTCAACCTCAGGAGTTAATTACAACCTATCTCCTTATAGCATTACACTGGGGGTTACAATTTTAATACAAATTATTGTAACTCTCAAGTTTTTTTAAAGCTGTCATTATTCCTCCTACTGGGTTTTTCCTATTTGCTTCCTCAGTCTTTCCATTTCTTTATGTCTCTTTGTGTGAAACTGTTTGCCTAATTCTGTCTCTCAATTGTATTCCTCAAACAGAGGAAGCAAGCTCCAATGCTATGAGATGCTCTATGTACAGACGCACATAACAAAGAACGGAGGGAGTGCTCAGGCAGTAGACAGAAGTAAAGTCATGCTCTCAGTCTACCCTGAACCCTGCCAATTTTCACAAGCATGAGCTTAAAGGTTGATGCTTTTCCGGTCCACATTCAGTTGAGACCACAGCCCCAATCTCATAAGAGACCTGAAGGCAGAGGCAGCTAACTAAACTGTGTCCAGATTCTGGTCCACACAAATTGTGAGATACTATATACTATTGAAAGGTGCTAAGTTTTAGGGCAATGTTGTCAGAAAGGAGCAGATATCTAGCCTCATCTCCCAAGCCCCAGGATTCTCCATGCCTCTGCTTATCTCTTCCTCAGGCTGTCTGTACCAAATTGGTCCCTTTCTAATCTCTGCCAAACTCACACCTGTAAGACTCTTCACCAAGGGTGGCTTCTCACTGACACATTCTTGTGCAGAGATGCCTCCCTGTTATCATTCTCATCATGGATTAAAGATCACCTCAGTGAGGACTTTGGGTCCCCCCATTCAATGACTTTGCAGCTCTTCTTCTCAACATTCTACTTTATATAATAGTCCTTGCTCTTTTCTTTTATATATACTTGCTTTAGTGCTTTTGTCGAGCTGACTTCAGACTGTTCTGTCCTTGGAGGGGTATGCAGGCATGATGTAATCATTTTCTGTGCCACATGTTGGACCCACCAGGGTAGCTGGCAAAGGGTGAGTGCAAGGGAAAAAAGATTGGCTAAGTGGGCAATGTGGAAATTGTTGATAATAACATGAGGTGTGTGACTCTTACTTGCTCCAGCTGCTCCAGCAAAGCTCAATAGGCACCAGAAACACAGCAGGCTGTAACCACCTCCAGGCCATCACTAACACTGCAGCCCCATGCAGGAACATTATGGAACAAATCAGGTACCATTGTTTTGTGTCCTCAAGACACTGACTCTTTGGAGTTCCAGAGGACAAAGGAGCAGAATCTGAAGGCTCCAAGTACACTGAGTGACCTTGGAATCCTCCATTGCCCTCTCTTTGCCTCCACCATTTGGAGTGTGCCATTTACTCATGAGGCACCCTCCCCTTATCCAGGGAAATTATTTAATACGACTTTCAAATGAGGAGCTCAAAAACCCAACAGGAACTGGCATTTTCCCATGACTTCAGACTCAGGGTCCAGTGTTCTGACACGTTTAGCTCTATCCCATCTTTATCTACCCAAAATGCCTCTGGAGTGGCCATGCCTCTCTCTGATTTGAAGGGCCTCCAGGGAGTAGAAGCATTTCTGCAGAGTTTCAGAGCAAAGAGTCTTAGTTCACCAATGAAGAATCAAGGCTGGCAGACACTTATGAGTATGTGAAACAATCAAGGTTACCCACTTCGAGCACCCCTATTTATGAGGAAGAAAACAGTCTTCTCTGTAGCCATTGTCTACATTAGGCTGAGGTGGAGCATAGCTCATTTTACTTCCAGCTCTCCACAGAAGTGGATACAGAACCCCAGTCCTGTCCTCTTGAAACCGACCTGGAGAGGACCCCATGTGAGACACAACCCTGGAACTGCTCATTCTCTGTGCCCCTGGATATGTATCTAGGGAAGCGGATGCCCTTGCCTTATGGCAGATCTGCCCGCCCAGCTATTCATTTGTAATACATGGCCTTTAATGCTTTGAAGTGAATTTACTTTACACCTAATTTGTTGAGAGTTTTTATCATAAAGCGATGTTCCTTTTTGGAAAAAAGTTTTATTCGTCTATTTAAATGTTATGCTTGATCCTGGGTCTGTCGTTCTGATCAGAAGCTGACAGGTGCATCCATTCCTAGAGGAGAGCATGAGAACATCAGTTCTCACATTCTGTGATCATGACCTGCTTATAATGTCCACTCTGAGTGTCTGACTCCCTGAAGTAAATTGTGGCCCAGGAACTGTCATCTGTTGTCTTCACTGAATTAGGCCAAGTGTCTGGAAAACTGCGTTATATATATGTGATGAATAAATAAGCCCTAACTACAACCTTTTTAGCTATGTCTGAGTGTGCCTGGGGACTCTTTCCTACAGGATCTCTCTGTTTCAAGGACAAAGTCCAGCTAACAGGAAGCTCAAGTGCCCTTTACAAATGTAAGAACATGTTTGTTTTCTATATGATTGTCTAATTATAGAGGGACATGAGTCACTGTGACATGAAAGACCTTCTGGGGTGAAAGAAGAGAAAAAAGTAATAAATACGAACAATCAGAGCATGCCCCAGCAGGCTTTCCACAAAGCCGAGCATTAGGAAACCACTTTTCATATTGTATGCCATTCATTTCTCACAAAAAACATATAAGGTTGTGGGGGAAAGTTAAATATTAAATTTGAATTCAATTGAACATGGACAAAAGCAATGGTCATTAAGTCTCAGACAGGTTGCATGAGCCGCTTGAAGCATTCATCTGGCACTGTTTTGGAGAAATATCTATTTCAATCTATTCCTATGTGTTAGTTATTGAAAAACCACAGACAATTGCAAAAACAAGATAACCTTTTCAAGTTCCTTGAGCCCAGTTGTGAAGAGCCCTCGTGACTGGGCCTCATGCCAAACAACTCATTACAAAAAGAACTAGGGCTCTAGGCCACGCTGAAACTTCCTAAGACCTCTTCTTGTCTGTGCAGGGATGGGTGACCTACTCTGGAGTCGAGGCTGTTGCTTCCCGGTCTGGTAATGAATCCTCCGCAGTCTGGTGGGCGTAAATATGTATATATGTTTCCCTTCTCCCCTTCCCATTGCAATTTGCTTATTATAGCTGCACTGCCATTTACGTCAGATAAAGCTTGTTTACCCTTAAAGGTTTTTTTGGGTGTGTTTTCTTCTCCCCTTGCATGTCTCTCGTACAGAACAGAGGTTCATTTTACAATTCTCTATAAAGATGCAAATTGAGGCTGATAAAGATGCACTGGTATGCTAAGACACAGTTAGTAGCTGGCAGAGTCACCACTGTGCCTTGGAGAAGACATATGCTCAACTACTAGACAGCTGGTCCAGGAACTACAGAGTGGTGAGGAAGTCCTGGTAAAACTTGAGAAAAATGATAAAAAGAAGAGAGTTTGACCCTGGAAGGCTGCTGTCAGGGACTTCGTCAGCTTCTCCGTTGTGCCTGGTTTGGCGCATTGGCATCATTCACACCTCTAGGTTAAGAATAGACTCATTTCCTCTTGGGGAGGGGACAAGACTTTTCATGGCAAGACCATGAAACACCAGAGGCTTGGAATGTGGAGCTTGGATGAGGAAATCTCCATCCTTCAGAGACTTGGGCATGTGGAGGACATGGGTGTTTATGGTGAAAAAGGTTTTAGGCCTCTGATATCAAATTTAATGTGGAGGTAGAGAATAATTAATCCATGAATACAGTCAAGGCCTTCACGATATCATATCAGCTGTAAGACAACAGCACCCACTTGTATTAATAATCTTTATGAAGAGCATTATCCCAGAGAATTCCCAAAAAAACATACTCAGCCTACAAATGAGAAAATAAAGCTTTGTGATGTCAAATGGCTGCTCAGAAAAACACAAGTAAGAAAGAGAATCTTCCACGGTGGGGGTTGCATGAAATTCCCTTTAAGCTACCTGAGGCTCTATGTCTGTCCCTGACTTAGGGGGAAGGGCATGGGGAAGGCTCACTTTCTTTCTGTTTTAGAGACAGGGCACAGGATAAGATACCCTAAGACAACCCTTTTGACTTAAAGCAACTGAACTGGGTCTTTTAAAACCTTAAAGGGAGTGTTGAGAAATAACTACAGCAACCCCACACCTGACAAAGGTGTCAGTGCTTGGGGACTCCAAGGTGAGAGAAACCCCTCACAGGGCCAAGGAATTGAGCGGATTAACTGAGGGAACAGAAAACTCAAATAAGTATAAATCAACTGAAAGGTAACTCAAATATATCAGTTGAAAAATTGAAATAGAAACATGTTTTTTTGCCACATAGATAGCAGATTGACAAAAAAATTAAAAGAATGTTGACAACCAAGAGGTTCTGGATACATAAAAGCAGATAAATTCAGAAACTACTATTTACAGTACGGCTTTCACAACCCTTTTGGAATATATTCCGGCTTCTCCTATTAAACCTTTACACTTTCCTACTGTTTCACTGAGTAATCATTTTCCTGGGAGACTATAATCTACAAGGGATTAGTAAATGTTGTGAGCTAGATTGCATTCCCTTCCTAAAAATTATATGTTCATGTCCTAACACCTAGTGCCTCAGAACATGACTATATTTGAACATATAGCCTCTGCAAATGTAGTTAGGTTTAAGTGAATTAATTGGGGTGTATCCTAATTCCAGATGACTGGAGCCCTTATTAGAAGAGGCAGGAAGGACAGAAAAGCACAAGAGAAGATCTTGTGAACACAGATATAGTAGATGACGATCTACAAGCCAAGGATGGAGACCTCAGAGAAACCACACAGCCAGTAGCTTGAGGTTGGATTTCTAACTTCCAGAATTGTGCGACATTCAGTTTTTGTTGTTAAAGAACTTCAGCCTGTGGTACTGTATTAGGGAAGTCATAGCAAAGCGTTACAGCCTATTAGGACACAGATAAGATGTTCCCTGTAGCGGCTGGGCGCGGTGGCTTACACCTGTAATCCTAGCACTTTGGGAGGCCGAGGCGAGTGGATCACGAGGTCAGGAGATCGAGACCATCCTAGCTAACACGGTGAAACTCTGTCTCTACTAAAAAAAAAACCACACACACACAGAGAAAAAAAATTAGCCGGGCGTGGTGACAGGCGCCTGTAGTCCCAGCTACTCAGGAGGCTGAAGCAGGAAGATGGCGTGAACCCAGGAGGCAGAGTGCAGTGAGCCGAGACTGCACCACTGCACTCCCACCTGGGCGACAGAGCGAGACTCCGTCTCAAAAAAAAAAAAAAAAAAAAAAAGATATTCCCTGTAGCATGGCTGAAGTGGAAATAGAATTTATTATGTCAGGCTCCACCAGTATTAAAAGCCTAAATTACTGAGGGAAAGGCCCCACTTATGGAATCTTATAAAGACATATGAGGACACAGCTCCTGTCCTGATGGGGCTATAGAGGTGGGCTCTGGGACACATATGTAAAGAGTCATATAAGACCCTTTTGCATAACTCCCACTTTTTGGGTGAAACCTCTCTCTAGTAACAGTGTGAACTTCTAAGACTTAGAGAAGGTCTGGCAAGGCAGCGAAGCTGCCTGCTCCAGGAAGTATGTGGGGTAGGTAGATATAACAATAAAAATAATAGCAAAATGCAAAGATACTCACAACTTAATGTAAAGTAATAACAACACAAAAGTGTTTCTTTTGACATTCCTGCAAGCATATGACCAGGGACTGTGCACCTAAGTTGCCATTATGGACTAATGGAGGCCAAATTCCTCTGGGAAGGAACTGTGGGTCCTTAATGGAGAAAGCCCTAAAACGGTTTCTGGGGAATCCTCACATTTGGGTCAGGGTCCTGGGCTTCCCTGGTCTTTTCCATTTGGAGACCTCTCTGTGCCCACCTTGACTCCAGACTAGCACGGGCCATGGTTGTTGGCATGATGCACCTGCCTTTTGTTCAATGAGATGGAGTAGTTGGACTCATCAAACAGCTCCTCAGGGATCTCCTCAATAGAGTTCTGCAAAGAGAGTGCCTGGAAGCCTGGCCAAGAGGCATCAATGGCATCCTGGCTTTCCCCACAGGGGAAATTCCAGTTAGAAAGTCTACTCCCCAGATCAGGCACATAGGAGCATTTGCGCAGACCTCCAGCCAGGGAGAAAACAAGAGGACAGCTTGAAGCCTTAGAATAAATGTCTGAACAAACAAAGGTGACCCCCAGCACTCACCTTCCCCTCCTGCCAACTGTAACCTGCGGTATAAATTTGACAGGCTTTTAGCCTCCCAATACCTGGAAACCTGCTCCTGCCAAGAAAGGACCCATTATCTCTTTCTTTCCCACGAGACGTGGAGATGAGGAGGGGTGTGTGCCTGCCGAGATGATATCAAAGGTGAGGCCTGGCCTGGATAGGCCTGCCATGGGTGGCCTTGTGTTATCTATGGGTAACCCTTTCCAAATGGCCAGAAGAGCCAGCAGTGCAGAATGAGCACTGTCTCCATCATAAAAAAAAGTCTCTCTGTTCAAGCCTTCCTGAGATGAGAGCCTCAGAAATTCAAGACATAGCAGGAGAACATCTTGCTGTCTTCAGAGTCTCCTTAGTAAATACAAAGCTGTCTCTAGAATTAGGGCTCCAGGTTACCAGAGTTCTAAACTTTCTTTGAGTTTGTAACTAAGGAAGTGAGGTCACTTCGAGATTCCATCACCTGGGCTCCGGTGCGGGAAATGAACGAGGGGAAAAGAAAAGGCACCCACAATAGTTTTAAGGATAAATAGCCTTTATCCCAAGTGTATGGCAATACAGACTTGATAAGCAAATAATATAATAAGCAAATTGCAATGGGAAGGACAGAAAGAAAATATATATATGTATATTTATATACATATACATGTATATAAATATACATATATGTATATGTATATTTACACGCACCAGACTATGGAGGATTCATTACCAGACTGGGAAGCAACAGCCTGGGCTCCAGAGTCAGCCACGTGTCCATGCACAGATGAGGAGAGGTCTCATGAAACTTCAGCACAGTCTGGGACCCTAGCTCTTTTTGTAATGTGTTGTTTGGCATGAGGCGCAGTCACAGGTGCCCTTCACAACTGGGCTCAAGGAACACAAAAGATCAACTTGTTTTTGCAATTGTCTGTTGTTTTTTCAATAACTAATGTATAGGAATGGATTGAAAGATTTCTCTGAAACAGCGCTGGATGAACACCTCAAGGGGTTCATGCAACCTGTTCCAGGACTTCGTGACCATTGTTTGTGCCCATGTTCAATTGAGTTCATATTAAATATTTAACTTTTCCTCCACATTAGATTCCCAATTCTCAGAACCATGTCCACTGCCACAGGGCCTGGCTGGGAATATTGTCACTCATAGAGTTTAGAAGATGGAATGCTGGTCAGTGATGATGCTAGGGTGTTAGGTGAAGGCAGCCGGGACAGTCCCTCTAGGTTGAGGGAGGAGCTGGCCTCTCTTGTGGGGTCCTTGGCATGTCATTGCCGCTTTGGGCCTCTGTTTTCTTATGTGGAAAATGTAGGAATGATGAGCCTGTTGGGCAGGCCTCACAAGGTGGTGATGGGGCTCAGGGAGACAGAGAATCTGAGGGTGCTTGTGTCTGGCTCATCCTGAGAGGGAAGATGGTGACAGCAATCATGACAACCACATGAAACCGAGGTGGTAAGAGGCCTTGTGAGGTGGTTGGTTCCCACCACACTTTCCAGTTGAGGAAACAGCTCAGGGAAACCCGACTGCATGCCCAAAATGACACATCCAGGGAGTGTTGGACCTGGGAGTGAGTCTAGAGTCAGAGCTTACTGGAGATGGTCAGAGCATTGGACAAGCTGACTCAGGCCACTTATCCGTGTCCAAGGTTAGTGTGGCTGAGGCGTAACTGAAAGAAGCATATTTTCACTGACCTTGTCCCTCATCCTAGCAGGTGAACACCGTACAAGTTGTCTACCCTGTAGCGGAGCCTCAGAGAGCTTAGATGAGGCTGTGACAGCAGAAGGTGAATGTGTCTGTGATGGGGAAGGGCTCCAGGGTTTCAGAGAACAGAGCTTACTTCTCCCAGCTGGAAACCTCCAAATCAAAAAAGCAGAGGGCCTTTCTACTCCAGCCCTTTTCTCCTGGGGCTGCAGTGCCTAAAACACCTTCATTAGACAGACCAGAGCAAGGCCTGGGAGAGCTGGGCTCCGTGTGGCTTTTAAAACAGGTGGAGCCAGGGACCACATGACCTTGTGGCTTGTTAAAATCCCACCAAGGAGGTAATTATGGTGAGGTTGGTGGCAATAGAGGCCAGCTAATGGGAAGACATAGAGAATTGGGAAAAGGCAGCTGAGGGTTCTCAGCTACTCCAAGTGGGTAACCTAGGTAGAGGGCGCCAGGAGGCAGGGGTTTATAAGAGTTCAGCGGACAGGACTTGGGTGGGCACCTCCCAAGTCATGCCCTCTCTGGGGACATTCCTCACTGATGTGGTGATGCTGGACATTGCCATGAAGGAGTGTGTGGATGTGAGTGAGCCTGGAGAAGACAGGTCAGGGACCAGGATCCTGAGGCCTGGGAGAAGAGAGTCTTGAACTGAGCTCCTAGATCTCAGTCCTTGCCAAAATTTTTTGCGAGGGCCTCGCAGCCCTCCCCATCCCGTAAACAGGGTATTTTACTCATGAGTGATGGAGGCTCCACAGCAGCCATCAGTCCCACTCCCTGAGTAGTGAAGCTGCAGAGCTGCAAGACCTCTTTTGTGCACATTCCCTGACCCTGGTGGCTCTGGTAGTGGTGAAGCTTGGAAATCGCTGGAAATGGAGGCTAGTTATGGACCAGCGGACCTTTCTGATGGTCTTTGGCTTTCTGTCTTCCAGAGAAATGTGATCAAAACCCAGAAAAACAGAAAGGTGAGCAGTAGCTGAAGTCCTCACTTTGAGGGAGGGTGGAGGTGGAAATGAGAAATCACCCTGGGCAGGACATTCCCTGGTCCCTTCTTCCGCATCTAAGATTTATTGAAAGGGAGTAATACACAGAGAAGGAGGAGACCTATCCTAATGCAGGGTGCAATCAGGGGAGTGAAGTTGATGACAACTTCCTAGAGGAAGGGCCGTTTACATTCAACTCTGAGAACCAGTTAGGGCTGCATGATATTGGAGGGGAGGTGAGAGCCCCTTAAAAGAAACACCTCAGAGACCAGCCCTCCTCCCTTCTTTTATAAGGCCCCTACAGAGTCTTTCACCCAGGCCCTGTCAGCATCCTGTCTTTCCCTCTGTTTCCAGAAGATTAAAGTCCTCCAGGAGATGCAGCAGTTCCACACAGCTGGAAACCATCATCATCTTCAGACTCAAGAGGAATTTCGGGCTTTGTTCCAAGCCTGGAGCAGCACAATCAGAATAAAAGGCAAAGACCTAGCAGATGAGCAGAGGGTAGGAGGGGAGACTGTCTTGCCGCCAGCCTCACACAGCGTGTGGCCATGGTTCCCTGGCCGGCATCAGGTCCTGTTGCACCTGGACTCCAGCTGCTGGGGAGGAACTGGGGGACCTGAGGTGTGGCTTCTGGAACCTCACAGCTGTCACTCTTCTCTGAAGTTGCTAGCCATGAAGAACAGGCTGTGATAAAATCTCAGAGCCATTAAGTGCCTGTTGTTGGAATTGCTTTCATGGCTCATTGAAGTTTGTACTAAGCATGGGCTCTGGCAGTCAGGCAGCTCAAGTAGGGTTCCAGCCACACCATTGACCAGCCCTGCGAGTGGGGCAGAAAGCTCACTACTCTGGCACTTGAGGCATCACGTCGTAAATTTAATGCAACCAATCCCTTTTTCACTGTTACCTACCTTTCTCTATAAACACCATGACCTGATCTCTGCTAGCATTTTTCTTAAAATGGATAAACATATGTTATATAGTATATATTATTCTTCCTCATGATTTTTTTGCTATATTGTCTCTTTCCACTCATATGAGATATTTACAGCAGTTAAGTTCATAGAAACACGAAGTAGAAGAGTAGTTTCCAGGGACTACACAAAGGGCAATGGAAGGGGAGTGTTGTTTACTGGGTACAGAGTTTCACTTTTAAAAGATTGAAAAACAGTTCCTTATGAACTTGGACAATGGTTGCAAAACAATGTGAATGTATTTAATTTCTTTAAACTGCACACAAAAAAAATAATAAAATGGTTAATTTCATGTATTTTTATATTTTACTAAAAGGTAAAAACTACTTTCTAAAATGAACAGACTATAGCTATTTGCAACTGGTGGGTGAATATCACAAATGTAATGTTGCATAAAAGAAAGCAGACATGCCAGTTTGGGCAACATAGTGAAACCCTGTCTCTACCAAAAATACAAAACAATTAGCCGGGCATGGTGGTGCAAGGCTGCGGTCCCAGTGACTCAAAAGGCTGAAGTGGAAGGATATCTTAAGCCTGGTAGGCAGAGGTTGCAGTGAGATCATGCCACTGCACACCAACCTGGGGAAAAGAAAGAAAGAAAAAAGAAGAGAGAAAGAAAGAAGGAAAGAAAGAGAGAAAGAAAGAAGACAGAAAAGGAAAGAAAGAAAGAAAACAGAAAAGGAAATAAAGAAAACAGATGTACAAGTATACATACTATATAATTTTGTTTATATAAAATGCTACAATCAAATAAAACTGAGGTTCTGACTTCCACTAAGTGTGGACTAGCTTGTTGAACTCTCACAAATAACAATGATGAAACTTGAATAAAATATATTATTATAGAAAAACGCCTATGCATAATACATATATGATATGTGTGTTTAACAACTGAATGAAGATTTCAGCTATACCCACTGTAGCGGACATAAGCATTGGTTTGACACTAGCCCAATGAACCCTGTTTATAAAACAAAAGTCTTCAAGGTAAAACAGCAAAATCCAGAGTTTCTATTCTATAATTATCATTTATAGTTTCTAGTGCACAATTTTAAAATTCATAAGACTTGTAAAGAAACGTGAAAATGTCATCCATACACAATATCAAAAGCAGGCAGTAGAAGCTATCCCAGGATGTTGCAATCAGCAGACAAGAATTTGAAGGCAGTTTTTATGAATATGTTCATGGGGAAAAAAGAAAATATTCTATTCATAAACAAACAGATGTGGAACTTCAGCAGAGAAATGAACATATATATAAAAAAATTATAGATAAGGAAATGAAAAAAATCTTTTGAGTTTAGCCATAGATTTAAAACAGAAGACACAGCAATAGAAATTATCCAGTCTGGAAAAAAAAAAGTACAAAAAGTTTAAAGGAAATGAACAGAACTCTCGAGACCTGTGGAATGACTGAGTCTAAGGAGAAGGGAGAGACAAAAAATAATTAAATAGGGAACAGAAGTAAATCAACAACTAATAGCGGAATACTTCCAAAAACTGTCCAAATACCTAAATATTTATATCCAAAAGGTCAATAAATACAAAACAAAATACAAATAAAACCACAGCAAGGCCATATCGTGGTTTATGAAACAGGCAAGGCAGGGCTTTTGCTTGACTTGCTGTGATATCTAATTGCTACTATTTATGGATACTATGGAAATAAATACTAAATAGAATGGGAGATAGGTTATTCTCAGAGTTTTTTTTTTTTTTTTTTTTGCAAAGATGACTGTTATTAAAGGTAGATGACTTTCCAGCATGTCGAAAGGGGCGTGGCAGGGGAGGGGCGAGGAGAAGGGTCGGGGCTGAGGGAGGGGCCCTGCAAAGGTCTGGGCGCGCCCAGCTCCCCGAAAGCAAGCGTTACAGCAACGCTGGGCAGGCTGTTGGAGGCTCCCGGGCTCTGTCTTGTCAGAGAGAAATCAAACTTCAGGCACAAATAGTCGTACAACTGGCACGTGGGGAGACTGTGCCACAATTACAAGTGAGACCACCTGCCCTGGCCACGCTGTCTCCTCGCACGCAGAAGTTTGGGAACAGATAGGCTCCCCTCAGCAGGGCGGAATTGCACTGGAAACATGGAGGGGCGGAGGAGAAGATGAAATTATCCCCTCAGTGTTGGAACTGTAGTCTCAGAGAAGATGAAATTTTCCCCGTAGTGTTGGAACTGTAGTCTCAGATCCACTCCCAGCCTTTCTGTCGCGGCAGTCGGACTATGATCCCAGCATGCGCTGGGCTTAAGGGAGGTTCCCAGCCCTGGAGGAAGGGTCAACAGGGTGGGTCCCTCGCAAGGCGTCCTGGGAGTCATAGTCCTTAAACAGTTTCCAGCACGTTGATCGCAAGGCTACCGAACTACAATGCCAGCATGCACCGGGATTGGGGCGGTGTGTAACGCTGGAGGGAAGGATAGAGAGGCGCGTCCCTGGCCAGGGATGCTGGGAGTTATGGTCTCTTAACGGTTTCCAGCGATGGCCCCCGGCCTGCAGACTACAATCCCAGCAGCCACCGGGCTTCGAGGCGGTGTGTAGCACTGAAGGGAAGGATAGGGAGGTGCGTCCTTAGCCAGGCGTGCTGGCAGTTATGGTCTCTTAACAGTTTCCAGTCAGTTGGTCCCAGGACTACCTGACTACAATCCCAGTATGCGTTGGGCTTGGGGGCGGTGCGCAGCCCTAGAGGAAGGATCGGGACGGCGGGTACCTCGCAAAGCATCCTGGGAGTCATAGTCCTTTCAGTATTTCCAGCCCATTGGTCGCGAGGCTAACGGACTACAATCTCAGCATGCGCTGGGTTTGGGGGCGGTGTGTAGTATGGAAGCGAAGGATAGGGAGGCGCGTCCCTAGCTAGGAGTGCTGGGAGTTATGGTGTCTTAACGGTTTCCAGCCCATTGGTCGCCGACCTGCTAACTACAAAACCAGCATGCGCTGTCTGTCCTACCCCGTGGTGCGCAGCCCTGGAGGGAGGGACAGGGCGGTGTGGACTCGTCCTTTCCTAAGCGATGCCACATGCTGATTCTGTGCCACCCCCTCGCCAAGGGAGTCCGCAGAAGGACTTGAGGGGCAGGTCTAGGCTGGGCGATGAGGACGGTGTGACCCTGCGAAGTGCACCTCCCTTGCTCAAATCGGAGGGGTCTGGTCCTCACTGAACAGCCCGCTGAACATCTCGGTGTCCTCTCACATACACACCCGCGGGGGGTTTCCAGAGCATCGCACCTCTTCCAGCCCAGGGAGCCGCCTGCTCTGCTAAACTCTATGGGAACTGAGACATCCACCTGCTGCGTGACCCACCCGTGCGCAACTTCAGAGCTTTCAGGGGGTGATGCGGGCTGTGGCTCCTTCGTGAAAATGTCACCGTCTGCAGCGCCTTTCTTGTGATATAGAACTTGACGGGTGAGAGCGGGTATTTCTTGGGTTACTCAGGATCTGCTAACAGCAGAGGAGAAAACCACAATTCCCAGGCATAAGAATCTACCTAAAGACGATGGTTTAGATATTTTACAGTTGAAATCACCAGCCTCATCTCAACTGAGTCCTGACTGACGAGTGTCTCAAAAAAGCAGTTGGTGACCTCATCCCTCAGGAACAGGTGGTGCTCCAGCTTTGTGGGGATGACTTTCAAGGTGCAGAGCACTTGAGCCGCATTTGAAGTCATTCATGTTTTACATCTCTGCTTTGGATGGAAAGTTGATCCCCCACAGCCGTTGGGGATGTACCTTAATATACTGGGGCTTATGAGTTAAATTTTTCTGTCTAGACAATGAAAACCCAGAAGTTCCACTTGCAGGTAGCCTCTTAATAATCGACGTCCCTAAGTTCCTTATGTCCTCAGGATAGTTCCTTTTGTTCCCAGATGTTACCAACTTTGATGATGCATCTAATCTGTATAAACCTGTGTATTTCTCTATGTGAAAAGAATACTTTGTTCAAATTACATGTTCTTATAATTTTCACTTGTGATCGGTGAGTATGGGACACTATAAAAAAATCCTGAAAAACCTCATCATAGCAATTGAATCACGTTACTGTACTTTATGAGGAATTAACCCCTTCAGGATGAATTACTCATGGGTTCATCAGCACATTTGTGAAGAAAGGAAGAAAAACTGTATGGCCTTTATGAAATTGGAAAAATAAAGAACTATATATAGGAGGACCACAGCACAATACTAGGGCCCTTCTCTTATTTTAAATAGACTCTATGGGGTCGAATGCCTGCATTCCTAACCTATCCTGCAGTATTCTCATCCTACTCTTCACTGTGTATTTAGGTGTGGGTTTCTGAATTCACTTGTCCACAGCGTTAGTGGGGATGTTGTAACGTGAGGGTATCCATCATCTATCATCTTAATAATTAGTGAAGAGAAGAGCCTTGAGATCTGTCTTCAGATACACTGCTGCCGAGTATGTGCCTGCAAAGACACTGCCCACACCGGTGGTCTCAGAAAGTTGAACCTGATGCCACCACAAGCTGCTGTTCACAGATCTAGGTGCTCCTGGTGATTTGAGTCTCCTGCTTACATTTGTGGTTGTGAACCTGCTATGCTCACCCCATTTATGGTAGTATATTTTGTGTCACCTTTTCTATTCCATTTGTTTCCTGGGAACTCACTGTGTAGCTGCAATTCAGAGAATATGTAGGGATTCCACCCCCGACTACCTAAGTCACTGTACACTGGTCACATTTGTGTCATGTTTTCAGACTACACACTCTTCCTCTCTAATGGAATTTGTTGAAGAAATATAGTTGCCTGTAGATCTCCTCAGTGTAATGTGGCTGGGATTGATTGTGAAGCTGGGCATGTTGTCCTTGGCCTCATAGACATTATTCAAAATACCTTTCCCATATTTTGAAGTTTGATACTACTTTGTTAATGTGAACACTTGCCATAGCAGGCTCTATTAAATATCTCTGTGAATTTAACTGTCAAAACAACTTATGAAGTAGGCACATGATCCCCATTTTACAGGTGAGGAAACAAATGTTCCAAGATTTTGAGTAATTTTATTAACTTTACACAGCTTTCTGGTGCATTTTGAATCTTAAGTTGGATCTCTTTCTCCACAATATATGGGCTTACCTCCTTTTCTATTTTGTGCCTCTCTGCTAGCATCTGCAAGGGTACATTTTATTTTTAGTACATCTTCCACTTGATGGTAGGAAACTTGACAAACAGATCCTTAGTGGGAGAGGAAACTCACTGGCATTTGTCCTTCTCTCTGCTCCTTCTTACCCTGGCAGGCATGAGACTTATCAAGTGAGATGGAGCAGTGGTAGATCCTGACCAGTCCTCACCTGGAATATTTGTTATTATAAAAAAATAGTCCTCTCATTTTTTACAAGTGTAACTTCTTTGCCTTAAAGTTTTGTCTGGGCTTTCTCTTACAGGTTCCTGCGAATTAAGTTGCAAATATTGATGAAGATAATACTACTGCCTTGCTGTCAAACAGTAACAGTCACCTTTTTTTGTATCTCCAATTATAAATGCAATGCGTACTGTAAAAAGAAAAGAAAACATCATAAATATCTTTATAAAGTAAAAGTCTTGGCTGGTCGCCGGGAGCAGTGACTCATGCCTGTAATCTCAGCACTTTGTGAGGCCGAGGTGGGTGGATCATGAGGTCAGGAATTTGAGGCCAGCCTAGCTGACATGGTGGAACCCCATCTCTGCTAAAAAATACAAAAATTAGCTGGTCTCGGTGGCGGGTGCCTATAATCCCAGCTACCCACGAGGCTGAGGCAGGAGAATCACTTGAACCCAGGAGGCAAATGGTGCAGTGAGCCAAGATCGTGCCATTGCACTCTAGCCTGGGCAACAGAGTGAGACTCCATCTCAAAAACAAAACCAAACAAAAAACTTGGTTGGCCTAGTGGCTCAATCCCAGCACTTTGGGAGCCCAAGGCAGGTGAATTGTTTGAGCCCAGAAGCTCAAGACCAGTGTGAGCAACATGGTAAAACCCTCTCTCTACAAAAATACAAAAATTAACCAGTTGTGGTGATGTACACCTGTATTCCCAGCTACTAGGGAGGCTGAGGTGGGAGGATTGTTTGAGCCTGGGAGGCCAAGTTTGCAGTGAGCTGAAATCACACCACTGCGCTTCCATGTGGGCAACAAAGTGAGACCCTGACTCAAAAAATAAAAAACACATTAAACTGAAAGTCCCCTTTATTCCCTTCTCTTCAAACTCACTTTTTTTATTTGAAAAAACTGTTAAGAGGTTGTTTTTTATTCTTCTGGCTAAGTTGTATAAATTTCTTTTTTTTTCGAGACAGACTCTCGCTCTGTTGTCCAGGCTGGAGTGCAGCGGCGCGATCCCGGCTCACTGCAAGCTCTGCCTCCCGGTTTCACGCCATTCTCCTGCCTCAGCCTCCCGAGTAGCTGAGACTAGAGTTGCCCGCCACCACACCCGGCTAATTTTTTGTATTTTTAGTAGAGACAGGGTTTCACCGTGTTAGCCAGGATGGTCTTGGTCTCGATATCCGGCCCCCTGATCTGCCCACTTCGTCTTCTCAGAGTGCTGGGATTAGAGGCGTGAGCCACCGCCCCCGGCCTGTTCTATAAATTTCTAAGTGATACACACATAAAGTTTATTTTAAAAATTACATCACACTACATTAAAATTTACTCTTTCTCCAGGTGTATTCCATCTATCTATCTATCTATCTATCATCTATCATCTATCTATCTATGACAAGGCCTTGCTCTGTCACACAGACTGGAGTTCAGTAGCTCAATTATGGCTCACTGCAGACTCAAACTCTCAGGCTCAAATGATTTTCTAACTTCAGCTTCTGAAGTAGCTGGGAGTACAGGTGCATGCCACTACTCCTGGTTAATTTTTAGTTTTTGTTTGTTTTTTTCTTTAAACAGGGTCTCACTGTGTCACCTGGGCTGGAATGCAATGCATAATCACAGCTCACTCTAGCCTTGACCACTCAGGCTCAGGCAATTCTCCTGCCTCAGCCTCCTGAGCAGATGGGACCACAAATGTGTATTAACACACTTGGCTGTTTATTATTATTTGCAGAGACAGGGTCTCCCTATCCTGCCCAGGCATGTTGTGAACTCTTGTGCTTAAGCAATCTGCTACCTCGGCCTCCCAAATTGCTGGAATTACAGGTGTGAGCCACCACAACTTACCCAGCCTTTTTACTTTGTGTAAGAATAGCATCAGTGTATTAAAAATACAACGGAAATTATTTATGGTGTCTTTTCAATTCTTATGCATTAAAATTCTCTTATTAGGGCCTTTTATTAATGGTTACAGTGTATTTTCTGTGAAATTTTACTGTCACACACTGCATGCCAATGATTCAAGATACCCGAACTTCATGAATGCACAGTCACAGTAGAATATTTTAGTTATCTAAAAAGTATTTTCATAAATGATATATCAAGTTTATATGCAAGGTAGCCTGGTCTGGTAGCAGGTGCTTGTAATCTCAGTGAAGGCTGAGGCAGGAGAATGGTTTGAACTCAGGAGGCGGAGGTTGAAATGAGCCGTCGTCTCGCCACTGCACTTCAGCTTGGGTGACAGAGTGAGACTCTGTCTCAAAAAAAGAAAAAAACTTTGCTTGCAAGATTTTATGAGTAAATATGTTTCTTATTTTTCTTTACAATTCCATATTACTGTCTCGATTATTTATAATAGGTTCCAGGGCAGCAGTTGATTTTATTTTGGGTTTTACTTATGTATTATAACTTTGGATGTTATAATTTCCAACTCTGCCTGTACACTTCAAGTCAATGTGGATTTTTAAAAAAATGTTAATAGTACAAACTATTCATAGATTCAACTTCGTAATGTTAAAAGCAACGGCAGCTCCTGGTTTAAAAAGGGAACGGTGGAAGCAGCCGGCCATTTTATTTAAAATCGCGTTAGATTTTTCAGAAGGATGATAGTTAAGATCATTAAATCCCATTACTGCTTCTAAGATTTCCACAAAATAGCACATTAAATCCTCAGTCCTAAACAATCACGACAGAGATTCAAAATTGCCTCTCAATGTCAAGGTAAACAGCGCACTATCTTCTCTTGCAATAAAGGTACATCATTTGATATACAAGGGAGCATAGCAGTCAGACACTTACAAGATCGTGCTGTAGAAATAACTTCCATGTTTTCATCCGCCATGTGTATCCTCACCTCTGTCTCCCATGCAGTAACACTATCAGTTTCCTCATCTGTCCTTTCTACTTTCTTTTAAAGAGGAGGCTGATTGCAGACAATACATGACAGAGGCATTTCAAATCAGAAAGGAGTTTCTTGAGATATACGTGATTTTAGTTTTAAGTAGAATGTCCTGAAGAGTTTTAGTTACAATACCACCTTCAAGAGGATGGTGGTGAAATTCATAGTAAACATTTGGCAAAATATAGGTTATGAGGCAGCCATCTCCTAGAAACACTTCATCGGGGTTTATATATGAAATGTGAAATATCGTAGGTTTAATCCTGGCACAGAACCAAAACTGAGTGCATTGCACTTGAACAGCTGACCAATCCCCAGCACAGGTCCATATGAAGAAACGGAGAAGAAAGAATCCTTTTAACCACAGAAAGGTCTTCATTTGCCCAAACTGAAAACCAAATTTCACTCAGGAAACTAATGTTGGGTTTAATTAAAATATAAATCGGTCATACGTTTTCAAAATTAAATTATATATGTGTTTGTCTCTATAAATATGTCCCCAACTTTGCTCATGGCTTATCTTCCATATTTTTTGGCTGATTTTCAGTGGTTGTCTTATCTTGTGTGGATGAATAGTCATTGAAATAATCTTAATTTCACAATGTGTTTAATTATAAATCTATACTTCCTTTGTGTGAGAGAAAATCTTTTGTGAACAAAATTTAATTTTTGGAAAGCTTTATAAGTCCATATTTTTCCTTTTAAAAATTGCGATTGTGGTAAAAACACATAATGTAAAATTTACCATTTTAATTCTTTTTAAGTGTATATTTCATTAGCGTTAAGTACATTCACATAGTTATGCAAAAGATCTGTAGAACTTCTATGTCTTGCAAAACTAACATTAAATGTCTTTTAAGACAATTGCCCATTTTACCATCTCTTCAGTCCTTGACAAACACCATTCTAACTTTTTTTTTCTATGAGTTTGTCTACTTAAGATACCTGATTATGAATGGAATCATAGACTGTCACTTTGTTCCTGGCTTATTTCAGTTAACGTGATATTCTCAAGAATAATCATATAATGTGACTTTTTAAAGACTGAATAATATTCGACTTTGTGTATGTGCCACTTGTTGTTAATCTCTTCATTGGTCAAGGGACAGCTGGGTTGTTTCTGCCTTTTGGCTTGTGTTAGTAATGCTGCAATAAATTTGGGTGTGCAAATATCTCTTCCGGATCATGTGTTGTATATTTTAAATACATAGCCAGAATGGGGTTTGCTGGATTGTATAATAATCTCATTTTAAATTTTTTGAAGAGCTTTCATACTATTTTAAAAATAGGTTTGATGTGATAGATTATTGTGACTTTTCTTTGTATTTTTCTAGAAGAGAGTTGTCGAGTATCCTTTTAAATGCCTAGTCATTTCTATGTCTTCTTTGGAGAAAGTCATTTCAAACATGTGCCATTCTAAATCAAGTTATTAACTTTTTTTGTTGTTGAGTTTTAGGAATTTATATATTTTGAAAATTAACACCTACCAAATATGTGATTAGAAAATATTTTTACTCTTTTTAGTTATATGTATGTATGTATGCATATATATAACCCTATACAAGACAGGGTCTTGCTATGTTTTCATGGCTAGTCTCAAACTTTTGGTCTCAAGTGATTGTTCTGCCTTGGCCTCCTAAAGTTGTAGAATTAAAGGCATGAGACACCATGCCTAGCTTTCACCCACTTATTAGGTGACGTTTGTATGGCACTAAATGTTTTATTTGATGTGTAGAATAGTTGAAGCTTAATGTAGTCCCTTTTCTTGGTCGTTGTTCTTTTCCTTGTTGCTTATGAATTTGATGTCAAACTTAAGGAAAGAGTTTTAAGACTTATGTCATAAACTTTTCCCTTATGTTTACTTCTAAGAATTTTATTAGGTTTTATGTTTAAGTATTGAATTCATTTTAAAAACTTTTCTTTTTATATATGATACAAAGGAAGCATCCAACTTTATTTTTTTCTCTGTAAATATTCAATTTGGAAAACTCTTTGTTAAATGGATTCTTATTTTTCTATTGTGTGGTCATGGAAAGCTTACGGAAGATTATTTTATCACATATGCAAGGGTTTATTTCTGGGATCTCTATTCTGTTTCGTCATCTATGTATCTGTTTTTGTGGCAATACCACATTGTTTTTATTTTTGTAGCTTTGTATCATGATTTTGAATCAGAAAATGTAATACCTCTTTGTTCTTTTTAAAGGGTGTTTGGCTAGTCACCTGTCCTAAGCAACGTTTAGAATTATACACAAAAATTCTGCAAAAAAAATACCATTGGGATTTTGACAAAAATTACCTTACATTTTTATATCATCATGAGTAGTACTGACAACATTTTTTTTTTTTTTTTTTTTGGAGATGGAGTTTTAGTGAGTCACTCAGGCTGAAGGGCAGGGGTGCGAGATGTGCTCACTGCAGGCTCCGCTTCCCAGGTTCAAGCAATTCTCCAGTCTCAGCCACCAGAGTAGCTGGGATTGCAGTCGTGCACCATCACGTCTAGCTAACTTTTGTATTTTTAGTAGAGATAGGGTTTTGCCATATTCACTAGGCTAGTCTCAAACTTCTGATCTCAAGTGATC